>NC_000011.10:51622721-51784209 GCF_000001405.40 Homo sapiens
TTTTCTTTTTGAGACAGGGTCTTGCTCTGCTGCCCAGGCTGGAATGCAGTGGTGTGGTCACAGCTCACTGAAGCTCCTGGGCTCAAGTGATCCTCCTGCCTCAGCCTACTAAGTAGCTAAGATCACAGGCATGCACCACCACTCCAGGCTAATTTTCTATTTTTAGCAGAGACAAGCTCTTTTTCTAGAATCTGAAAGTGGACATTTGGAGGGCTTTGAGGCCTGTGGTGGAAAAGGAAAATCTTCACATAAAAACTAGATGGAAGAGCATTCTCAGAAACTACTATGTGATGATTGCATTCGACTCACAGAGTTGAACATTCCTATAGATAGAGCAGGTTGTAAACAATCTTTTTGTAGAATCTGCGATTGGAGATTTGGACTGCTTTGAGGCCTACTGTAGTAAAGGAAATAACTTCATCTAAAAACCAAACGGAAGCATTCACAGCACAATTCTTAGTGATCATTGGATTGAACTAACAGAGCTGAACATTCCTTTAGATGGAGCAGTTTCCAAACACACTTTCTGTAGAATCTGCAAATGGATATTTGGACCTCTCTGAGGATTTCGTTGGAAACGGGCAAAATTTCCCAGAACTACACGGAAGCATTCTGAGAAACATCTTTGTGATATTTGCATTCAACTCACAGAGTTGAACCTTGCTTTCATAGTTCAGCTTTCAAACACTCTTTTTGTAGAATCTGCAAGTGGATATTTGGACCACTTTGTGGCCTTCCTTCGAAACGGGTATATCTTCACATCAAACCTAGACAGAAGCATTCTCAGAATGTTTCCTGTGATGACTGCATTCAACTCACAGAGGTGAACAATCCTGTTGATGGAGCACTTTTGAAACTCTCTTTCTTTGGATTCTGCAAGTTGATATGTGGACCTCTGTGAAGATTTCGTTGGAAACGGGTTCATCTTCACAGAAAAACTAAACAGAAGCATTCTCAGAAACTGCTTTGTGATGTTTGTGTTCCACTTCAGGAATTGAACTTTCCTCTTGACAGAGCAGCTCTGAAACCCTCTTATTCTAGAATCTGCAAGTGGACATTTGGAGGGCTTTGAGGCCTGTGGTGGAAAAGGAAAATCTTCACATAAAAACTAGATGGAAGCATTCTCAGAAACTACTTTGTGATGATTGCATTCGACTCACAGAGTTGAACATTCCTATACATAGAGCAGGTTGTAAACAATCTTTTTGTAGAATCTGCGATTGGAGATTTGGACTGCTTTGAGGCCTACTGTAGTAAAGGAAATAACTTCATCTAAAAACCAAACGGAAGCATTCACAGACAATTCTTACTGATCATTGGATTGAACTAACAGAGCTGAACATTCCTTTAGATGGAGCAGTTTCCAAACACACTTTCTGTAGAATCTGCAAGTGGATATTTGGACTTCTCTGAGGATTTCGTTGGAAACGGGATAAACTTCCCAGAACTACACGGAAGCATTGTGAGAAACTTCTTTGTGATGTTTGCATTCAACTCACACAGTTGAACCTTGCTTTCATAGTTCAGCTTTCAAACACTCTTTTTGTAGAATCTGCAAGTGGATATTTGGACCACTTTGTGGCCTTCCTTCGAAACGGGTATATCTTCACATCAAACCTAGACAGAAGCATTCTCAGAATGTTTCCTGTGATGACTGCGTTCAACTCACAGAGGTGAACAATCCTGCTGATGGAGCAGTTTTGAAACTCTCTTTCTTTGGATTCTGCAAGTGGATATGTGGACCTCTGTGAAGATTTCGCTGGAAAGGGGTTCATCTTCACAGAAAAACTAAACAGGAACATTCTCAGAAACTGCTTTGTGATGTTTGTGTTCCACTTCAAGAATTGAACTTTCCTCTTGACAGAGCAGCTCTGAAACCCTCTTTTTCTAGAATCTGCAAGTGGACATTTGGAGGGCTTTGAGGCCTGTGGTGGAAAAGGAAAATCTTCACATAAAAACTAGATGGAAGCATTCTCAGAAACTACTTTGTGATGATTGCATTCGACTCACAGAGTTGAACATTCCTATAGATAGAGCAGGTTGTAAACAATCTTTTTGTAGAATCTGCGATTGGAGATTTGGACTGCTTTCAGGCCTACTGTAGTAAAGGAAATAACTTAATCTAAAAATCAAACGGAAGCATTCACAGACAATTCTTAGTGATCATTGGATTGAACTAACAGAGCTGAACATTCCTTTAGATGGAGCAGTTTCCAAACCCTCTTTCTGTAGAATCTGCAAGTGGATATTTGGACTTCTCTGAGGATTTCGTTGGAAACGGGATAAACTTCCCAGAACTACACGGAAGCATTGTGAGAAACTTCTTTGTGATGTTTGCATTCAACTCACAGAGTTGAACCTTGCTTTCATAGTTCAGCTTTCAAACACTCTTTTTGTAGAATCTGCAAGTGGATATTTGGACCACTTTGTGGCCTTCCTTCGAAACGGGTATATCTTCACATCAAACCTAGACAGAAGCATTCTCAGAATGTTTCCTGTGATGACTGCATTCAACTCACAGAGGTGAACAATCCTGCTGATGGAGCAGTTTTGAAACTCTCTTTCTTTGGATTCTGCAAGTGGATATGTGGACCTCTGTGAAGATTTCGTTGGAAACGGGTTCATCTTCACAGAAAAACTAAACAGAAACATTCTCAGAAACTGCTTTGTGATGTTTGTGTTCCACTTCAGGAATTGAACTTTCCTCTTGACAGAGCAGCTCTGAAATCCTCTTATTCTAGAATCTGCAAGTGGACATTTGGAGGGCTTTGAGGCCTGTGGCGGAAAAGGAAAATCTTCACATAAAAACTAGATGGAAGCATTCTCAGAAACTACTTTGTGATGATTGCATTCGACTCACAGAGTTGAACATTCCTAAAGATAGAGCAGGTTGTAAACAATCTTTTTGTAGAATCTGCGATTGGAGATTTGGACTGCTTTGAGGCCTACTGTAGTAAAGGAAATAACTTCATCTAAAAACCAAACGGAAGCATTCACAGACAATTCTTACTGATAATTGGATTGAACTAACAGAGCTGAACATTCCTTTAGATGGAGCAGTTTCCAAACCCACTTTCTCTAGAATCTGCAAGTGGATATTTGGACTTCTCTGAGGATTTCGTTGGAAACGGGATAAACTTCCCAGAACTACACGGAAGCATTGTGAGAAACTTCTTTGTGATGTTTGCATTCAACTCACAGAGTTGAACCTTGCTTTCATAGTTCAGCTTTCAAACACTCTTTTTGTAGAATCTGCAAGTGGATATTTGGACCACTTTGTGGCCTTCCTTTGAAACGGGTATATCTTCACATCAAACCTAGACAGAAGCATTCTCAGAATGTTTCCTGTGATGACTGCATTCAACTCACAGAGGTGAACAATCCTGTTGATGGAGCAGTTTTGAAACTCTCTTTCTTTGGATTCTGTAAGTGGATATGTGGACCTCTGTGAAGATTTCGTTGGAAACGGGTTCATCTTCACAGAAAAACTAAACAGGAGCATTCTCAGAAACTGCTTTGTGATGTTTGTGTTCCACTTCAAGAATTGAACTTTCCTCTTGACAGAGCAGCTCTGAAACCCTCTTTTTCTAGAATCTGCAAGTGGACATTTGGAGGGCTTTGAGGCCTGTGGTGGAAAAGGAAAATCTTCACATAAAAACTAGATGGAAGCATTCTCAGAAACTACTTTGTGATGATTGCATTCGACTCACAGAGTTGAACATTCCTATAGATAGAGCAGGTTGTAAACAATCTTTTTGTAGAATCTGCGATTGGAGATTTGGACTGCTTTGAGGCCTACTGTAGTAAAGGAAATAACTTCATCTAAAAACCAAACGGAAGCATTCACAGACAATTCTTAGTGATCATTGCATTGATCTAACAGAGCTGAACATTCCTTTAGATGGCGTAGTTTCCAAACACACTTTCTGTAAAATCTGCAAGTGGATATTTGGACCTCTCTGAGGATTTCGTTGGAAACGGGATAAACTTCCCAGAACTACACGGAAGCATTCTGAGAAACTTCTTTGTGATGTTTGCATTCAACTCACAGAGTTGAACCTTGCTTTCATAGTTCAGCTTTCAAACACTCTTTTTGTAGAATCTGCAAGTGGATATTTGGACCACTTTGTGGCCTTCCTTCGAAACGGGTATATCTTCACATCAAACCTAGACAGAAGCATTCTCAGAATGTTTCCTGTGATGACTGCATTCAACTCACAGAGGTGAACAATCCTGTTTATGGAGCAGTTTTGAAACTCTCTTTCTTTGGATTCTGCAAGTTGATATGTCGACCTCTGTGAAGATTTCGTTGGAAACGGGTTCATCTTCACAGAAAAACTAAACAGAAGCATTCTCAGAAACTGCTTTGTGATGTTTGTGTTCCACTTCAAGAATTGAACTTTCATCTTGACAGAGCAGCTCTGAAACCCTCTTTTTCTAGAATCTGCAAGTGGACATTTGGAGGGCTTTTAGGCCTGTGTGGAAAAGGAAAATCTTCACATAAAAACTAGATGGAAGCATTCTCAGAAACTACTTTGTGATGATTGCATTCGACTCACAGAGTTGAACATTCCTATAGATAGAGCAGGTTGTAAACAATCTTTTTGTAGAATCTGCGATTGGAGATTTGGACTGCTTTGAGGCCTACTGTAGTAAAGGAAATAACTTCATCTAAAAACCAAACGGAAGCATTCACAGACAATTCTTAGTGATCATTGCATTGATCTAACAGAGCTGAACATTCCTTTAGATGGCGTAGTTTCCAAACACACTTTCTGTAGAATCTGCAAGTGCATATTTGGACCTCTCTGAGGATTTCGTTGGAAACGGGATAAACTTCCCAGAACTACACGGAAGCATTCTCAGAAACTACTTTGTGATGATTGCATTCGACTCACAGAGTTGAACATTCCTATAGATAGAGCAGGTTGAAAACAATCTTTTTGTAGAATCTGCAAGTGGATATTTGGACCACTTTGTGGCCTTCTTTCGAAACGGGTATATCTTCACATCAAACCTAGAGAGAAGCATTCTCAGAATGTTTCCTGTGATGACTGCATTCAACTCACAGAGGTGAACAATCCTGCTGATGGAGCAGTTTTGAAACTCTCTTTCTTTGGATTCTGCAAGTGGATATGTGGACCTCTGTGAAGATTTCGTTGGAAACGGGTTCATCTTCACAGAAAAACTAAACAGGAGCATTCTCAGAAACTGCTTTGTGATGCTTGTGTTCCACTTCACGAATTGAACTTTCCTCTTGACAGAGCAGCTCTGAAACCCTCTTTTTCTAGAATCTGCAAGTGGACATTTGGAGGGCTTTGAGGCCTGTGGTGGAAAAGGAAAATCTTCACATAAAAACTAGATGGAAGCATTCTCAGAAACTACTTTGTGATGATTGCATTCGACTCACAGAGTTGAACATTCCTATAGATAGAGCAGGTTGTAAACATACTTTTTGTAGAATCTGCGATTGCAGATTTGGACTGCTTTGAGGCCTACTGTAGTAAAGGCAATAACTTCATCTAAAAACCAAACGGAAGCATTCACAGACAATTCTTAGTGATCATTGGATTGAACTAACAGAGCTGAACATTCCTTTAGATGGCGCAGTTTCCAAACACACTTTCTGTAGAATCTGCAAGTGGATATTTGGACCTCTCTGAGGATTTCGTTGGAAACGGGATAAACTTCCCAGAACTACACGGAAGCATTCTGAGAAACTTCTTTGTGATGTTTGCATTCAACTCACAGAGTTGAACCTTGCTTTCATAGTTCAGCTTTCAAACACTCTTTTTGTAGAATCTGCAAGTGGATATTTGGACCACTTTGTGGCCTTCCTTCGAAACGGGTATATCTTCACATCAAACCTAGACAGAAGCATTCTCAGAATGTTTCCTGTGATGACTGCATTCAACTCACAGAGGTGAACAATCCTGCTGATGGAGCAGTTTTGAAACTCCCTTTCTTTGGATTCTGCAAGTTGATATGTGGACCTCTGTGAAGATTTCGTTGGAAACGGGTTCATCTTCACAGAAAAACTAAACAGAAGCATTCTCAGAAACTGCTTTGTGATGTTTGTGTTCCACTTCAGGAATTGAACTTTCCTCTTGACAGAGCAGCTCTGAAACCCTCTTATTCTAGAATCTGCAAGTGGACATTTGGAGGGCTTTGAGGCCTGTGGTGGAAAAGGAAAATCTTCACATAAAAACTAGATGGAAGCATTCTCAGAAACTACTTTGTGATGATTGCATTCGACTCACAGAGTTGAACATTCCTATAGATAGAGCAGGTTGTAAACAATCTTTTTGTAGAATCTGCGATTGGAGATTTGGACTGCTTTGAGGCCTACTGTAGTAAAGGAAATAACTTCATCTAAAAACCAAACGGAAGCATTCACAGACAATTCTTAGTGATCATTGCATTGAACTAACAGAGCTGAACATTCCTTTAGATGGCGCAGTTTCCAAACACACTTTCTGTAGAATCTGCAAGTGGATATTTGGACTTCTCTGAGGATTTCGTTGGAAACGGGATAAACTTCCCAGAACTACACGGAAGCATTCTGAGAAACTTCTTTGTGATGTTTGCATTCAACTCACAGAGTTGAACCTTGCTTTCATAGTTCAGCTTTCAAACACTCTTTTTGTAGAATCTGCAAGTGGATATTTGGACCACTTTGTGGCCTTCCTTCGAAACGGGTATATCTTCACATCAAACCTAGACAGAAGCATTCTCAGAATGTTTCCTGTGATGACTGCATTCAACTCACAGAGGTGAACAATCCTGTTGATGGAGCACTTTTGAAACTCTCTTTCTTTGGATTCTGCAAGTTGATATGTGGATCTCTGTGAAGATTTCGTTGGAAACGGGTTCATCTTCACAGAAAAACTAAACAGGAGCATTCTCAGAAACTACTTTGTGATGTTTGTGTTCCACTTCAAGAATTGAACTTTCCTCTTGACAGAGCAGCTCTGAAACCCTCTTTTTCTAGAATCTGCAAGTGGACATTTGGAGGGCTTTGAGGCATGTGGTGGAAAAGGAAAATCTTCACATAAAAACTAGATGGAAGCATTCTCAGAAACTACTTTGTGATGATTGCATTCGACTCACAGAGTTGAACATTCCTATAGATAGAGCAGGTTGTAAACAATCTTTTTGTAGAATCTGCGATTGGAGATTTGGACTGCTTTGAGGCCTACTATAGTAAAGGAAATAACTTCACCTAAAAACCAAACGGAAGCATTCACAGACAATTCTTAGTGATCATTGCATTGAACTAACAGAGCTGAACATTCCTTTAGATGGCGCAGTTTCCAAACACACTTTCTGTAGAATCTGCAAGTGGATATTTGGACTTCTCTGAGGATTTCGTTGGAAACGGGATAAACTTCCCAGAACTACACGGAAGCATTGTGAGAAACTTCTTTGTGATGTTTGCATTCAACTCACAGAGTTGAACCTTGCTTTCATAGTTCAGCTTTCAAACACTCTTTTTGTAGAATCTGCAAGTGGATATTTGGACCACTTTGTGGCCTTCCTTCGAACGGGTATATCTTCACATCAAACCTAGACAGAAGCATTCTCAGAATGTTTCCTGTGATGACTGCATTCAACTCACAGAGGTGAACAATCCTGCTGATGGAGCACTTTTGAAACTCTCTTTCTTTGGATTCTGCAAGTTGATATGTGGAACTCTGTGAAGATTTCGTTGGAAACGGGTTCATCCTCACAGAAAAACTAAACAGAAGCATTCTCAGAAACTGCTTTGTGATGTTTGTGTTCCACTTCAAGAATTGAACTTTTCTCTTGACAGAGCAGCTCTGAAACCCTCTTTTTCTAGAATCTGCAAGTGGACATTTGGAGGGCTTTGAGGCCTGTGGTGGAAAACGAAAATCTTCACATAAAAACTAGATGGAAGCATTCTCAGAAACTACTTTGTGATGATTGCATTCGACTCACAGAGTTGAACATTCCTATAGATAGAGCAGGTTGTAAACAATCTTTTTGTAGAATCTGCGATTGGAGATTTGGACTGCTTTGAGGCCTACTGTAGTAAAGGAAATAACTTCATCTAAAAACCAAACGGAAGCATTCACAGACAATTCTTAGTGATCATTGGATTGAAGTAACAGAGCTGAACACTCCTTTAGATGGAGCAGTTTCCAAACACGCTTTCTGTAGAATCTGCAAGTGGATATTTGGACTTCTCTGAGGATTTCGATGGAAACGGGATAAACTTCCCAGAACTACACGGAAGCATTCTGAGAAACTTCTTTGTGAAGTTTGCATTCAACACACAGAGTTGAACCTTGCTTTCATAGTTCAGCTTTCAAACACTCTTTTTGTAGAATCTGCAAGTGGATATTTGGACCATTTGTGGCCTTCCTTCGAAACGGGTATATCTTCACATCAAACCTAGACAGAAGCATTCTCAGAATGTTTCCTGTGATGACTGCATTCAACTCACAGAGGTGAACAATCCTGCTGATGGAGCAGTTTTGAAACTCTCTTTCTTTGGATTCTGCAAGTGGATATGTGGACCTCTGTGAAGATTTCGTTGGAAACGGGTTCATCTTCACAGAAAAACTAAACAGAAGCATTCTCAGAAACTGCTTTGTGATGTTTGTGTTCCACTTCAGGAATTGAACTTTCCTCTTGACAGAGCAGCTCTGAAACCCTCTTATTCTAGAATCTGCAAGTGGACATTTGGAGGGCTTTGAGGCCTGTGGTGGAAAAGGAAAATCTTCACATAAAAACTAGATGGAAGCATTCTCAGAAACTACTTTGTGATGATTGCATTCGACTCACAGAGTTGAACATTCCTATAGATAGAGCAGGTTGTAAACAATCTTTTTGTAGAATCTGCGATTGGAGATTTGGACTGCTTTGAGGCCTACTGTAGTAAAGGAAATAACTTCATCTAAAAACCAAACGGAAGCATTCACAGACAATTCTTAGTGATCATTGGATTGAACTAACAGAGCTGAACATTCCTTTAGATGGAGCAGTTTCCAAACACACTTTCTGTAGAATCTGCAAGTGGATATTTGGACTTCTCTGAGGATTTCGTTGGAAACGGGATAAACTTCCCAGAACTACATGGAAGCATTCTGAGAAACTTCTTTGTGATGTTTGCATTCAACTCACAGAGTTGAACCTTGTTTTCATAGTTCAGCTTTCAAACACTCTTTTTGTAGAATCTGCAAGTGGATATTTGGACCACTTTGTGGCCTTCCTTCGAAACGGGTATATCTTCACATCAAACCTAGACAGAAGCATTCTCAGAATGTTTCCTGTGATGACTGCATTCAACTCACAGAGGTGAACAATCCTGTTGATGGAGCACTTTTGAAACTCTCTTTCTTTGGATTCTGCAAGTTGATATGTGGACCTCTGTGAAGATTTCGTTGGAAACGGGTTCATCTTCACAGAAAAACTAAACAGAAGCATTCTCAGAAACTGCTTTGTGATGTTTGTGTTCCACTTCAGGAATTGAACTTTCCTCTTGACAGAGCAGCTCTGAAGCCCTCTTATTCTAGAATCTGCAAGTGGACATTTGGAGGGCTTTGAGGCCTGTGGTTGAAAAGGATAATCTTCACATAAAAACTAGATGGAAGCATTCTCAGAAACTACTTTGTGATGATTGCATTCGACTCACAGAGTTGAACATTCCTATAGATAGAGCAGGTTGTAAACAATCTTTTTGTAGAATCTGCGATTGGAGATTTGGACTGCTTTGAGGCCTACTGTAGTAAAGGAAATAACTTCATCTAAAAACCAAACGGAAGCATTCACAGACAATTCTTAGTGATCATTGCATTGAACTAACAGAGCTGAACATTCCTTTAGATGGTGCAGTTTCCAAACACACTTTCTGTAGAATCTGCAAGTGGATATTTGGACCTCTCTGAGGATTTCGTTGGAAACGGGATAAACTTCCCAGAACTACACGGAAGCATTCTGAGAAACTTCTTTGTGATGTTTGCATTCAACTCACAGAGTTGAACCTTGCTTTCATAGTTCAGCTTTCAAACACTCTTTTTGTAGAATCTGCAAGTGGATATTTGGACCACTTTGTCGCCTTCCTTCGAAACGGGTATATCTTCACATCAAACCTAGACAGAAGCATTCTCAGAATGTTTCCTGTGATGACTGCATTCAACTCACCGAGGTGAACAATCCTGCTGATGGAGCAGTTTTGAAACTCTCTTTCTTTGGATTCTGCAAGTGGATATGTGGACCTCTGTGAAGATTTCGTTGGAAACGGGTTCATCTTCACAGAAAAACTAAACAGACAGCATTCTCAGAAACTGCTTTGTGATGTTTGTGTTCCACTTCAGGAATTGAACTTTCCTCTTGACAGAGCAGCTCTGAAACCCTCTTTTTCTAGAATCTGCAAGTGGACATTTGGAGGGCTTTGAGGCCTGTGGTGGAAAAGGAAAATCTTCACATAAAAACTAGATGGAAGCATTCTCAGAAACTACTTTGTGATGATTGCATTCGACTCACAGAGTTGAACATTCCTATACATAGAGCAGGTTGTAAACAATCTTTTTGTAGAATCTGCGATTGGAGATTTGGACTGCTTTGAGGCCTACTGTAGTAAAGGAAATAACTTCATCTAAAAACCAAACGGAAGCATTCACAGACAATTCTTAGTGATCATTGGATTGAACTAACAGAGCTGAACATTCCTTTAGATGGCGCAGTTTCCAAACACACTTTCTGTAGAATCTGCAAGTGGATATTTGGACCTCTCTGAGGATTTCGTTGGAAACGGGATAAACTTCCCAGAACTACACGGAAGCATTCTGAGAAACTTCTTTGTGATGTTTGCATTCAACTCACAGAGTTGAACCTTGCTTTCATAGTTCAGCTTTCAAACACTCTTTTTGTAGAATCTGCAAGTGGATATTTGGACCACTTTGTGGCCTTCCTTCGAAACGGGTATATCTTCACATCAAACCTAGACAGAAGCATTCTCAGAATGTTTCCTGTGATGACTGCATTCAACTCACAGAGGTGAACAATCCTGCTGATGGAGCAGTTTTGAAACTCTCTTTCTTTGGATTCTGCAAGTGGATATGTGGACCTCTGTGAAGATTTCGTTGGAAACGGGTTCATCTTCACAGAAAAACTAAACAGGAGCATTCTCAGAAACTGCTTTGTGATGTTTGTGTTCCACTTCAAGAATTGAACTTTCCTCTTGACAGAGCAGCTCTGAAACCCTCTTTTTCTAGAATCTGCAAGTGGACATTTGGAGGGCTTTGAGGCCTGTGGTGGAAAAGGAAAATCTTCACATAAAAACTAGATGGAAGCATTCTCAGAAACTACTTTGTGATGATTGCATTCGACTCACAGAGTTGAACATTCCTATAGATAGAGCAGGTTGTAAACAATCTTTTTGTAGAATCTGCGATTGGAGATTTGGACTGCTTTGAGGCCTACTGTAGTAAAGGAAATAACTTCATCTAAAAACCAAACGGAAGCATTCACAGACAATTCTTAGTGATCATTGGATTGAACTAACAGAGCTGAACATTCCTTTAGATGGAGCAGTTTCCACACACACTTTCTGTAGAATCTGCAAGTGGATATTTGGACCTCTCTGAGGATTTCGTTGGAAACGGGATAAACTTCCCAGAACTACACAGAAGCATTCTGAGAAACTTCTTTGTGATGGTTGCATTCAACTCACAGAGTTGAACCTTGCTTTCATAGTTCAGCTTTCAAACTCTCTTTTTGTAGAATCTGCAAGTGGATATTTGGACCAATTTGTGGCCTTCCTTCGAAACGGGTATATCTTCACATCAAACCTTGACAGAAGCATTCTCAGAATGTTTCCTGTGATGACTGCATTCAACTCACAGAGGTGAACAATCCTGCTGATGGAGCAGTTTTGAAACTCTCTTTCTTTGGATTCTGCAAGTGGATATGTGGACCTCTGTGAAGATTTCGTTGGAAACGGGTTCATCTTCACAGAAAAACTAAACAGAAGCATTCTCAGAAACTGCTTTGTGATGTTTGTGTTCCACTTCAGGAATTGAACTTTCCTCTTGACAGAGCAGCTCTGAAACCCTCTTATTCTAGAATCTGCAAGTGGACATTTGGAGGGCTTTGAGGCCTGTGGTGGAAAAGGAAAATCTTCACATAAAAACTAGATGGAAGCATTCTCAGAAACTACTTTGTGATGATTGCATTCGACTCACAGAGTTGAACATTCCTATAGATAGAGCAGGTTGTAAACAATCTTTTTGTAGAATCTGCGATTGGAGATTTGGACTGCTTTGAGGCCTACTGTAGTAAAGGAAATTACTTCATCTAAAAACCAAACGGAAGCATTCACAGACAATTCTTAGTGATCATTGGATTGAACTAACAGAGCTGAACATTCCTTTAGATGGAGCAGTTTCCAAACCCACTTTCTGTAGAATCTGCAAGTGGATATTTGGACTTCTCTGAGGATTTTGTTGGAAACGGGATAAACTTCCCAGAACTACAGGGAAGCATTGTGAGAAACTTCTTTGTGATGTTTGCATTCAACTCACAGAGTTGAACCTTGCTTTCATAGTTCAGCTTTCAAACACTCTTTTTGTAGAATCTGCAAGTGGATATTTGGACCACTTTGTGGCCTTCCTTCGAAACGGGTATATCTTCACATCAAACCTAGACAGAAGCATTCTCAGAATGTTTCCTGTGATGACTGCATTCAACTCACAGAGGTGAACAATCCTGCTGTTGGAGCAGTTTTGAAACTCTCTTTCTTTGGATTCTGCAAGTGGATATGTGAACCTCTGTGAAGATTTCGTTGGAAACGGGTTCATCTTCACAGAAAAACTAAACAGGAGCATTCTCAGAAACTGCTTTGTGATGTTTGTGTTCCACTTCAAGAATTGAACTTTCCTCTTGACAGAGCAGCTCTGAAACCCTCTTTTTCTAGAATCTGCAAGTGGACATTTGGAGGGCTTTGAGGCCTGTGGTGGAAAAGGAAAATCTTCACATAAAAACTAGATGGAAGCATTCTCAGAAACTACTTTGTGATGATTGCATTCGACTCACAGAGTTGAACATTCCTATAGATAGAGCAGGTTGTAAACAATCTTTTTGTAGAATCTGCGATTGGAGATTTGGACTGCTTTGAGGCCTACTGTAGTAAAGGAAATAACTTCACCTAAAAACCAAACGGAAGCATTCACAGACAATTCTTAGTGATCATTGCATTGAACTAACAGAGCTGAACATTCCTTTAGATGGAGCATTTTCCAAACACACTTTCTGTAGAATCTGCAAGTGGATATTTGGACTTCTCTGAGGATTTCGTTGGAAACGGGATAAACTTCCCAGAACTACACGGAAGCATTCTGAGAAACTTCTTTGTGATGTTTGCATTCAACTCACAGAGTTGAACCTTGCTTTCATAGTTCAGCTTTCAAACACTCTTTTTGTAGAATCTGCAAGAGGATATTTGGACCAATTTGTGGCCTTCCTTCGAAACGGGTATATCTTCACATCAAACCTAGACAGAAGCATTCTCAGAATGTTTCCTGTGATGACTGCATTCAACTCACAGAGGTGAACAATCCTGCTGATGGAGCAGTTTTGAAACTCTCTTTCTTTGGATTCTGCAAGTGGATATGTGGACCTCTGTGAAGATTTCGTTGGAAACGGGTTCATCTTCACAGAAAAACTAAACAGAAGCATTCTCAGAAACTGCTTTGTGATGTTTGTGTTCCACTTCAGGAATTGAACTTTCCTCTTGACAGAGCAGCTCTGAAACCCTCTTATTCTAGAATCTGCAAGTGGACATTTGGAGGGCTTTGAGGCCTGTGGTGGAAAAGGAAAATCTTCACATAAAAACTAGATGGAAGCATTCTCAGAAACTACTTTGTGATGATTGCATTCGACTCACAGAGTTGAACATTCCTATAGATAGAGCAGGTTGTAAACAATCTTTTTGTAGAATCTGCGATTGGAGATTTGGACTGCTTTGAGGCCTACTGTAGTAAAGGAAATAACTTCATCTAAAAACCAAACGGAAGCATTCACAGACAATTCTTAGTGATCATTGCATTGAACTAACAGAGCTGAACATTCCTTTAGATGGCGCAGTTTCCAAACACACTTTCTGTAGAATCTGCAAGTGGATATTTGGACCTCTCTGAGGATTTCGTTGGAAACGGGATAAACTTCCCAGAACTACACGGAAGCATTCTGAGAAACTTCTTTGTGATGTTTGCATTCAACTCACAGAGTTGAACCTTGCTTTCATAGTTCAGCTTTCAAACACTCTTTTTGTAGAATCTGCAAGTGGATATTTGGACCACTTTGTGGCCTTCCTTCGAAACGGGTATATCTTCACATCAAACCTAGACAGAAGCATTCTCAGAATGTTTCCTGTGATGACTGTATTCAACTCACAGAGGTGAACAATCCTGCTGATGGAGCAGTTTTGAAACTCTCTTTCTTTGGATTCTGCAAGTGGATATGTGGACCTACTGTGAAGATTTCGTTGGAAACGGGTTCATCTTCACAGAAAAACTAAACAGGAGCATTCTCAGAAACTGCTTTGTGATGTTTGTGTTCCACTTCAAGAATTGAACTTTCCTCTTGACAGAGCAGCTCTGAAACCCTCTTTTTCTAGAATCTGCAAGTGGACATTTGGAGGGCTTTGAGGCCTGTGGTGGAAAAGGAAAATCTTCACATAAAAACTAGATGGAAGCATTCTCAGAAACTACTTTGTGATGATTGCATTCGACTCACAGAGTTGAACATTCCTATAGATAGAGCAGGTTGTAAACAATCTTTTTGTAGAATCTGCGATTGGAGATTTGGACTGCTTTGAGGCCTACTGTATTAAAGGAAATAACTTCATCTAAAAACCAAACGGAAGCATTCACAGACAATTCTTAGTGATCATTGGATTGAACTAACAGAGCTGAACATTCCCTTTGATGGCACAGTTTCCAAACACACTTTCTGTAGAATCTGCAAGTGGATATTTGGACCTCTGTGAGGATTTCTTTGGAAACGGGATAAACTTCCCAGAACTACACGGAAGCATTCTGAGAAACTTCTTTGTGATGTTTGCATTCAACTCACAGAGTTGAACCTTGCTTTCATAGTTCAGCTTTCAAACACTCTTTTTGTAGAATCTGCAAGTGGATATTTGGACCACTTTGTGGCCTTCCTTCGAAACGGGTATATCTTCACATCAAACCTAGACAGAAGCATTCTCAGAATGTTTCCTGTGATGACTGCATTCAACTCACAGAGGTGAACAATCCTGTTGATGGAGCAGTTTTGAAACTCTCTTTCTTTGGATTCTGCAAGTGGATATGTGGACCTCTGTGAAGATTTCGTTGGAAACGGGTTCAACTGCACAGAAAAACTAAACAGGATCATTCTCAGAAACTGCTTTGTGATGTTTGTGTTCCACTTCAAGAATTGAACTTTCCTCTTGACAGAGCAGCTCTGAAACCCTCTTTTTCTAGAATCTGCAAGTGGACATTTGGAGGGCTTTGAGGCCTGTGGTGGAAAAGGAAAATCTTCACATAAAAACTAGATGGAAGCATTCTCAGAAACTACTTTGTGATGATTGCATTCGACTCACAGAGTTGAACATTCCTATAGATAGAGCAGGTTGTAAACAATCTTTTTGTAGAATCTGAGATTGGAGATTTGGACTGCTTTGAGGCCTACTGTAGTAAAGTAAATAACTTCATCTAAAAACCAAACGGAAGCATTCACAGACAATTCTTAGTGATCATTGGATTGAACTAACAGAGCTGAACATTCCTTTAGATGGCGCAGTTTCCAAACACACTTTCTGTAGAATCTGCAAGTGGATATTTGGACCTCTCTGAGGATTTCGTTGGAAAAGGGATAAACTTCCCAGAACTACACGGAAGCATTCTGAGAAACTTCTTTGTGATGTTTGCATTCAACTCACAGAGTTGAACCTTGCTTTCATAGTTCAGCTTTCAAACACTCTTTTTGTAGAATCTGCAAGTGGATATTTGGACCACTTTGTGGCCTTCCTTCGAAACGGGTATATCTTCACATCAAACCTAGACAGAAGCATTCTCAGAATGTTTCCTGTGATGACTGCATTCAACTCACAGAGGTGAACAATCCTGTTGATGGAGCACTTTTGAAACTCTCTTTCTTTGGATTCTGCAAGTTGATATGTGGATCTCTGTGAAGATTTCGTTGGAAACGGGTTCATCTTCACAGAAAAACTAAACAGGAGCATTCTCAGAAACTACTTTGTGATGTTTGTGTTCCACTTCAAGAATTGAACTTTCCTCTTGACAGAGCAGCTCTGAAACCCTCTTTTTCTAGAATCTGCAAGTGGACATTTGGAGGTCTTTGAGGCATGTGGTGGAAAAGGAAAATCTTCACATAAAAACTAGATGGAAGCATTCTCAGAAACTACTTTGTGATGATTGCATTCGACTCACAGAGTTGAACATTCCTATAGATAGAGCAGGTTGTAAACAATCTTTTTGTAGAATCTGCGATTGGAGATTTGGACTGCTTTGAGGCCTACTGTAGTAAAGGAAATAACTTCATCTAAAAACCAAACGGAAGCATTCACAGACAATTCTTAGTGATCATTGCATTGAACTAACAGAGCTGAACATTCCTGTAGATGGCGCAGTTTCCAAACACACTTTCTTTAGAATCTGCAAGTGGATATTTGGACCTCTCTGAGGATTTCGTTGGAAACGGGATAAACTTCCCAGAACTACACGGAAGCATTGTGAGAAACTTCTTTGTGATGTTTGCATTCAACTCACAGAGTTGAACCTTGCTTTCATAGTTCAGCTTTCAAACACTCTTTTTGTAGAATCTGCAAGTGGATATTTGGACCACTTTGTGGCCTTCCTTCGAAACGGGTATATCTTCACATCAAACCTAGACAGAAGCATTCTCAGAATGTTTCCTGTGATGACTGCATTCAA
Organism: Homo sapiens; assembly: GCF_000001405.40. Classification (NCBI taxonomy): domain Eukaryota; kingdom Metazoa; phylum Chordata; class Mammalia; order Primates; family Hominidae; genus Homo; species Homo sapiens. The sequence continues at coordinate 51,639,686 of NC_000011.10, forward strand.
CTCACAGAGGTGAACAATCCTGCTGATGGAGCAGTTTTGAAACTCTCCTTCTTTGGATTCTGCAAGTGGATATGTGGACCTCTGTGAAGATTTCGTTGGAAACGGGTTCATCTTCACAGAAAAACTAAACAGAAGCATTCTCAGAAACTGCTTTGTGATGTTTGTGTTCCACTTCAGGAATTGAACTTTCATCTTGACAGAGCAGCTCTGAAACCCTCTTATTCTAGAATCTGCAAGTGGACATTTGGAGGGCTTTGAGGCCTGTGGTGGAAAAGGAAAATCTTCACATAAAAACTAGATGGAAGCATTCTCAGAAACTACTTTGTGATGATTGCATTCGACTCACAGAGTTGAACATTCCTATAGATAGAGCAGGTTGTAAACAATCTTTTTGTAGAATCTGCGATTGGAGATTTGGACTGCTTTGAGGCCTACTGTAGTAAAGGAAATAACTTCATCTAAAAACCAAACGGAAGCATTCACAGAAAATTCTTAGTGATCATTGGATTGAACTAACAGAGCTGAACATTCCTTTAGATGGCACAGTTTCCCAACACACTTTCTGTAGAATCTGCAAGTGGATATTTGGACCTCTCTGAGGATTTCGTTGGAAACGGGCTAAACTTCCCAGAACTACACGGAAGCATTGTGAGAAACTTCTTTGTGATGTTTGCATTCAACTCACAGAGTTGAACCTTGCTTTCATAGTTCAGCTTTCAAACACTCTTTTTGTAGAATCTGCAAGTGGATATTTGGACCACTTTGTGGCCTTCCTTCGAAACGGGTATATCTTCACATCAAACCTAGACAGAAGCATTCTCCGAATGTTTCCGGTGATGACTGCATTCAACTCACAGAGGTGAACAATCCTGCTGTTGGAGCAGTTTTGAAACTCTCTTTCTTTGGATTCTGCAAGTGGATATGTGGACCTCTGTGAAGATTTCGTTGGAAACGGGTTCATCTTCACAGAAAAACTAAACAGGAGCATTCTCAGAAACTGCTTTGTGATGTTTGTGTTCCTCTTCAGGAATTGAACTTTCCTCTTGACAGAGCAGCTCTGAAACCCTCTTTTTCTAGAATCTGCAAGTGGACATTTGGAGGGCTTTGAGGCCTGTGGTGGAAAAGGAAAATCTTCACATAAAAACTAGATGGAAGCATTCTCAGAAACTACTTTGTGATGATTGCATTCGACTCACAGAGTTGAACATTCCTATAGATAGAGCAGGTTGTAAACAATCTTTTTGTAGAATCTGCGATTGGAGATTTGGACTGCTTTGAGGCCTACTGTAGTAAAGGAAATAACTTCATCTAAAAACCAAACGGAAGAATTCACAGACAATTCTTAATGATCATTGCATTGAACTAACAGAGCTGAACATTCCTTTAGATGGCGCAGTTTCCAAACACACTTTCTGTAGAATCTGCAAGTGGATATTTGGACCTCCCTGAGGATTTCGTTGGAAACGGGATAAAATTCCCAGAACTACACGGAGCATTGTGAGAAACTTCTTTGTGATGTTTGCATTCAACTCACAGAGTTGAACCTTGCTTTCATAGTTCAGCTTTCAAACACTCTTTTTGTAGAATCTGCAAGTGGATATTTGGACCACTTTGTGGCCTTCCTTTGAAACGGGTATATCTTCACATCAAACCTAGACAGAAGCATTCTCAGAATGTTTCCTGTGATGACTGCATTCAACTCACAGAGGTGAACAATCCTGTTGATGGAGCAGTTTTGAAACTCTCTTTCTTTGGATTCTGCAAGTGGATATGTGGACCTCTGTGAAGATTTCGTTGGAAACGGGTTCATCTTCACAGAAAAACTAAACAGAAGCATTCTCAGAAACTGCTTTGTGAGGTTTGTGTTCCACTTCAACAATTGAACTTTCCTCTTGACAGAGCAGCTCTGAAACCCTCTTTTTCTAGAATCTGCAAGTGGACATTTGGAGGGCTTTGAGGCCTGTGGTGGAAAAGGAAAATCTTCACATAAAAACTAGATGGAAGCATTCTCAGAAACTACTTTGTGATGATTGCATTCGACTCACAGAGTTGAACATTCCTATAGATAGAGCAGGTTGTAAACAATCTTTTTGTAGAATCTGCGATTGGAGATTTGGACTGCTTTGAGGCCTACTGTAGTAAAGGAAATAACTTCATCTAAAAACCAAACGGAAGCATTCACAGACAATTCTTAGTGATCATTGCATTGAACTAACAGAGCTGAACATTCCTTTAGATGGAGCAGTTTCCAAACACACTTTCTGTAGAATCTGCAAGTGGATATTTGGACTTCTCTGAGGATTTCGTTGGAAACGGGATAAACTTCCCAGAACTACACGGAAGCATTCTGAGAAAATTCTTTGTGATGTTTGCATTCAACTCACAGAGTTGAACCTTGCTTTCATAGTTCAGCTTTCAAACACTCTTTTTGTAGAATCTGCAAGTGGATATTTGGACCACTTTGTGGCCTTCCTTCGAAACGGGTATATCTTCACATCAAACCTAGACGGAAGCATTCTCAGAATGTTTCCTGTGATGACTGCATTCAACTCACAGAGGTGAACAATCCTGCTGATGGAGCAGTTTTGAAACTCTCTTTCTTTGGATTCTGCAAGTGGATATGTGGACCTCTGTGAAGATTTCGTTGGAAACGGGTTCATCTTCACAGAAAAACTAAACAGGAGCATTCTCAGAAACTGCTTTGTGATGTTTGTGTTCCACTTCAAGAATTGAACTTTCCTCTTGACAGTGCAGCTCTGAAACCCTCTTTTTCTAGAATCTGCAAGTGGACATTTGGAGGGCTTGGAGGCCTGTGGTGGAAAAGGAAAATCTTCACATAAAAACTAGATGGAAGCATTCTGAGAATCTACTTTGTGATGATTGCATTCGACTCACAGAGTTGAACATTCCTATAGACAGAGCAGGTTGTAAACAATCTTTTTGTAGAATCTGCGATTGGAGATTTGGACTGCTTTGAGGCCTACTGTAGTAAAGGAAATAACTTCATCCAAAAACCAAACGGAAGCATTCACAGACAATTCTTAGTGATCATTGGATTGAACTAACAGAGCTGAACATTCCTTTAGATGGCGCAGTTTCCAAACACACTTTCTGTAGAATCTGCAAGTGGATATTTGGACCTCTCTGAGGATTTCGTTGGAAACGGGCTAAACTTCCCAGAACTACACGGAAGTATTCTGAGAAACTTCTTTGTGATGTTTGCATTCAACTCACAGAGTTGAACATGGCTTTCAAAGTTCAGCATTCAAACACTCTTTTTGTAGAATCTGCAAGTGGATATTTGGACCACTTTGTGGCCTTCCTTCGAAACGGGTATATCTTCACATCAAACCTTGACAGAAGCATTCTCAGAATGTTTCCTGTGATGACTGCATTCAACTCACAGAGGTGAACAATCCTGCTGTTGGAGCAGTTTTGAAACTCTCTTTCTTTGGATTCTGCAAGTGGATATGTGGACCTCTGTGAAGATTTCGTTGGAAACGGGTTCATCTTCACAGAAAAACTAAACAGGAGCATTCTCAGAAACTGCTTTGTGATGTTTGTGTTCCACTTCAAGAATTGAACTTTCCTCTTGACAGAGCAGCTCTGAAACCCTCTTTTTCTAGAATCTGCAAGTGGACATTTGGAGGGCTTTGAGGCCTGTGGTGCAAAAGGAAAATCTTCACATAAAAACTAGATGGAAGCATTCTCAGAAACTACTTTGTGATGATTGCATTCGACTCACAGAGTTGAACATTCCTATAGATAGAGCAGGTTGTAAACAATCTTTTTGTAGAATCTGCGATTGGAGATTTGGACTGCTTTGAGGCCTACTGTAGTAAAGGAAATAACTTCATCTAAAAACCAAACGGAAGCATTCACAGAAAATTCTTAGTGATCATTGGATTGAACTAACAGAGCTGAACATTCCTTTAGATGGCACAGTTTCCAAACACACTTTCTGTAGAATCTGCAAGTGGATATTTGGACCTCTCTGAGGATTTCGTTGGAAAAGGGCTAAACTTCCCAGAACTACACGGAAGCATTCTGAGAAACTTCTTTGTGATGTTTGCATTCAACTCACAGAGTTGAACCTTGCTTTCCAAGTTCAGCTTTCAAACACTCTTTTTGTAGAATCTGCAAGTGGATATTTGGACCACTTTGGGGCCTTCCTTCGAAACGGGTTCATCTTCACAGAAAAACTAAACAGGAGCATTCTCAGAAACTGCTTTGTGATGTTTGTGTTCCACTTCAAGAATTGAACTTTCCTCTTGACAGAACAGCTCTGAAACCCTCTTTTTCTAGAATCTGCAAGTGGACATTTGGAGGGCTTTGAGGCCTGTGGTGGAAAAGGAAAATCTTCACATAAAAACTAGATGGAAGCATTCTCAGAAACTACTTTGTGATGATTGCATTCGACTCACAGAGTTGAACATTCCTATAGATAGAGCGGGTTGTAAACAATCTTTTTGTAGAATCTGCGATTGGAGATTTGGAGTGCTTTGGGGCCTACTGTAGTAAAGGAAAAAACTTCATCTAAAAACCAAACGGAAGCATTCACAGACAATTCTTAGTGATCATTGGATTGAACTAACAGAGCTGAACATTCCTTTAGATGGCGCAGTTTCCATACACACTTTCTGTAGAATCTGCAAGTGGATATTTGGACCTCTCTGAGGATTTCGTTGGAAACGGGATAAACTTCCCAGAACTACACGGAAGCATTGTGAGAAACTTCTTTGTGATGTTTGCATTCAACTCACAGAGTTGAACCTTGCTTTCATAGTTCAGCTTTCAAACACTCTTTTTGTAGAATCTGCAAGTGGATATTTGGACCACTTTGTGGCCTTCCTTCGAAACGGGTATATCTTCACATCAAACCTAGACAGAAGCATTCTCAGAATGTTTCCTGTGATGACTGCATTCAACTCACAGAGGTGAACAATCCTGTTGATGGAGCAGTTTTGAAACTCTCTTTCTTTGGATTCTGCAAGTGGATATGTGGACCTCTGTGAAGATTTCGTTGGAAACGGGTTCATCTTCACAGAAAAACTAAACAGGAGCATTCTCAGAAACTGCTTTGTGATGTTTGTGTTCCACTTCAAGAATTGAACTTTCCTCTTGACAGAGCAGCTCTGAAACCCTCTTTTTCTAGAAACTGCAAGTGGACATTTGGAGGGCTTTGAGGCCTGTGGTGGAAAAGGAAAATCTTCACATAAGAACTAGATGGAAGCATTCTCAGAAACTACTTTGTGATGATTGCATTCGACTCACAGAGTTGAACATTCCTATAGATAGAGCAGGTTGTAAACAATCTTTTTGTAGAATCTGCGATTGGAGATTTGGACTGCTTTGAGGCCTACTGTAGTAAAGGAAATAACTTCATCTAAAAACCAAACGGAAGCATTCACAGACAATTCTTAGTGATCATTGGATTGAACTAACAGAGCTGAACATTCCTTTAGATGGAGCATTTTCCAAACACACTTTCTGTAGAATCTGCAAGTGGATATTTGGACTTCTCTGAGGATTTCGTTGGAAACGGGATAAACTTCCCAGAACTACACGGAAGCATTGTGAGAAACTTCTTTGTGATGTTTGCATTCAACTCACAGAGTTGAACCTTGCTTTCATAGTTCAGCTTTCAAACACTCTTTTTGTAGAATCTGCAAGTGGATATTTGGACCACTTTGTGGCCTTCCTTCGAAACGGGTATATCTTCACATCAAACCTAGACAGAAGCATTCTCAGAATGTTTCCTGTGATGACTGCATTCAACTCACAGAGGTGAACAATCCTGCTGATGGAGCAGTGTTGAAACTCTCTTTCTTTGGATTCTGCAAGTGGATATGTGGACCTCTGTGAAGATTTCGTTGGAAACGGGTTCATCTTCACAGAAAAACAAAACAGGAACATTCTCAGAAACTGCTTTGTGATGTTTGTGTTCCACTTCAAGAATTGAACTTTCCTCTTGACAGAGCAGCTCTGAAACCCTCTTATTCTAGAATCTGCAAGTGGACATTTGGAGGGCTTTGAGGCCTGTGGTGGAAAAGGAAAATCTTCACATAAAAACTAGATGGAAGCATTCTCAGAAACTACTTTGTGATGATTGCATTCGACTCACAGAGTTGAACATTCCTATAGATAGAGCAGGTTGTAAACAATCTTTTTGTAGAATCTGCGATTGGAGATTTGGACTGCTTTGAGGCCTACTGTAGTAAAGGAAATAACTTCATCTAAAAACCAAACGGAAGCATTCACAGACAATTCTTAGTGATCATTGGATTGAACTAACAGAGCTGAACATTCCTTTAGATGGCGCAGTTTCCAAACACACTTTCTGTAGAATCTGCAAGTGGATATTTGGACCTCTCTAAGGATTTCGTTGGAAACGGGATAAACTTCCCAGAACTACACGGAAGCATTGTGAGAAACTTCTTTGTGATGTTTGCATTCAACTCACAGAGTTGAACCTTGCTTTCATAGTTCAGCTTTCAAACACTCTTTTTGTAGAATCTGCAAGTGGATATTTGGACCACTTTGTGGCCTTCCTTCGAAACGGGTATATCTTCACATCAAACCTAGACAGAAGCATTCTCAGAATGTTTCCTGTGATGACTGCATTCAACTCACAGAGGTGAACAATCCTGCTGATGGAGCAGTTTTGAAACTCTCTTTCTTTGGATTCTGCAAGTGGATATGTGGACCTCTGTGAAGATTTCGTTGGAAACGGGTTCATCTTCACAGAAAAACTAAACAGGAGCATTCTCAGAAACTGCTTTGTGTTGTTTGTGTTCCACTTCATGAATTGAACTTTCCCCTTGACAGAGCAGCTCTGAAACCCTCTTTTTCTAGAATCTGCAAGTGGACATTTGGAGGGCTTTGAGGTCTGTGGTGGAAAAGGAAAATCTTCACATAAAAACTAGATGGAAGCATTCTCAGAAACTACTTTGTGATGATTGCATTCGACTCACAGAGTTGAACATTCCTATAGATAGAGCAGGTTGTAAACAATCTTTTTGTAGAATCTGCGATTGGAGATTTGGACTGCTTTGAGGCCTACTGTAGTAAAGGAAATAACTTCATCTAAAAACCAAACGGAAGCATTCACAGACAATTCTTAGTGATCATTGCATTGAACTAACAGAGCTGAACATTCCTGTAGATGGCGCAGTTTCCAAACACACTTTCTGTAGAATCTGCAAGTGGATATTTGGACCTCTCTGAGGATTTCGTTGGAAACGGGATAAACTTCCCAGAACTACACGGAAGCATTGTGAGAAAATTCTTTGTGATGTTTGCATTCAACTCACAGAGTTGAACCTTGGTTTCATAGTTCAGCTTTCAAACACTCTTTTTGTAGAATCTGCAAGTGGATATTTGGACCACTTTGTGGCCTTCCTTCGAAACGGGTATATCTTCACATCAAACCTAGACAGAAGCATTCTCAGAATGTTTCCTGTGATGACTGCATTCAACTCACAGAGGTGAACAATCCTGCTGATGGAGCAGTTTTGAAACTCTCTTTCTTTGGATTCTGCAAGTGGATATGTGGACCTCTGTGAAGATTTCGTTGGAAACGGGTTCATCTTCACAGAAAAACTAAACAGAAGCATTCTCAGAAACTGCTTTGTGATGTTTGTGTTCCACTTCAAGAATTGAACTTTCCTCTTGACAGAGCAGCTCTGAAACCCTCTTTTTCTAGAATCTGCAAGTGGACATTTGGAGGGCTTTGAGGCCTGTGGTGGAAAAGGAAAATCTTCACATAAAAACTAGATGGAAGCATTCTCAGAAACTACTTTGTGATGATTGCATTCGACTCACAGAGTTGAACATTCCTATAGATAGAGCAGGTTGTAAACAATCTTTTTGTAGAATCTGCGATTGGAGATTTGGACTGCTTTGAGGCCTACTGTAGTAAAGGAAATAACTTCATCTAAAAACCAAACGGAAGCATTCACAGACAATTCTTAGTGATCATTGCATTGAACTAACAGAGCTGAACATTCCTTTAGATGGCGCAGTTTCCAAACCCACTTTCTGTAGAATCTGCAAGTGGATATTTGGACTTCTCTGAGGATTTCGTTGGAAACGGGATAAACTTCCCAGAACTACACGGAAGCATTGTGAGAAACTTCTTTGTGATGTTGGCATTCAACTCACAGAGTTGAACCTTGCTTTCACAGTTCAGCTTTCAAACACTCTTTTTGTAGAATCTGCAAGTGGATATTTGGACCACTTTGTGGCCTTCCTTCGAAACGGGTATATCTTCACATCAAACCTAGACAGAAGCATTCTCAGAATGTTTCCTGTGATGACTGCATTCAACTCACAGAGGTGAACAATCCTGCTGATGGAGCAGTTTTGAAACTCTCTTTCTTTGGATTCTGCAAGTGGATATGTGGACCTCTGTGAAGATTTCGTTGGAAACGGGTTCATCTTCACAGAAAAACTAAACAGAAGCATTCTCAGAAACTGCTTTGTGATGTTTGTGTTCCACTTCAGGAATTGAACTTTCCTCTTGACAGAGCAGCTCTGAAACCCTCTTATTCTAGAATCTGCAAGTGGACATTTGGAGGGCTTTGAGGCCTGTGGTGGAAAAAGAAAATCTTCACATAAAAACTAGATGGAAGCATTCTCAGAAACTACTTTGTGACGATTGCATTCGACTCACAGAGTTGAACATTCGTATAGATAGAGTAGGTTGTAAACAATCTTTTTGTAGAATCTGCGATTGGAGATTTGGACTGCTTTGAGGCCTACTGTAGTAAAGGAAATAACTTCATCTAAAAACCAAACGGAAGCATTCACAGATAATTCTTAGTGATATTGGATTGAACTAACAGAGCTGAACATTCCTTTAGATGGAGCACTTTCCAAACACACTTTGTGTAGAATCTGCAAGTGGATATTTGGACTTCTCTGAGGATTTCGTTGGAAACGGGATAAACTTCCCAGAACTACACGGAAGCATTCTGAGAAACTTCTTTGTCATGTTTGCATTCAACTCACAGAGTTGAACCTTGCTTTCATAGTTCAGCTTTCAAACACTCTTTTTGTAGAATCTGCAAGTGGATATTTGGACCACTTTGTGGCCTTCCTTCGAAACGGGTATATCTTCACATCAAACCTAGACAGAAGCATTCTCAGAATGTTTCCTGTGATGACTGCATTCAACTCACAGAGGTCAACAATCCTGCTGATGGAGCAGTTTTGAAACTCTCTTTCTTTGGATTCTGCAAGTGGATATGTGGACCTCTGTGAAGATTTCGTTGGAAACGGGTTCATCTTCACAGAAAAACTAAACAGAAGCATTCTCAGAAACTGCTTTGTGATGTTTGTGTTCCACTTCAGGAATTGAACTTTCCTCTTGACAGAGCAGCTCTGAAACCCTCTTATTCTAGAATCTGCAAGTGGACATTTGGAGGGCTTTGAGGCCTGTGGTGGAAAAGGAAAATCTTCACATAAAAACTAGATGGAAGCATTCTCAGAAACTACTTTGTGATGATTGCATTCGACTCACAGAGTTGAACATTCCTATAGATAGAGCAGGTTGTAAACAATCTTTTTGTAGAATCTGCGATTGGAGATTTGGACTGCTTTGAGGCCTACTGTAGTAAAGGAAATAACTTCATCTAAAAACCAAACGGAAGCATTCACAGACAATTCTTAGTGATCATTGGATTGAACTAACAGAGCTGAACATTCCTTTAGATGGAGCAGTTTCCAAACACACTTTCTGTAGAATCTGCAAGTGGATATTTGGACTTCTCTGAGGATTTCGTTGGAAACGGGAAAACTTCCCAGAACTACACGGAAGCATTCTGAGAAACTTCTTTGTGATGTTTGCATTCAACTCACAGAGTTGAACCTTGCTTTCATAGTTCAGCTTTCAAACACTCTTTTTGTAGAATCTGCAAGTGGATATTTGGACCACTTTGTGGCCTTCCTTCGAAACGGGTATATCTTCACATCAAACCTAGACAGAAGCATTCTCAGAATGTTTCCTGTGATGACTGCATTCAACTCACAGAGGTGAACAATCCTGTTGATGGAGCAGTTTTGAAACTCTCTTTCTTTGGATTCTGCAAGTGGATATGTGGACCTCTGTGAAGATTTCGTTGGAAACGGGTTCATCTTCACAGAAAAACTAAACAGGAGCATTCTCAGAAACTGCTTTGTGATGTTTGTGTTCCACTTCAAGAATTGAACTTTCCTCTTGACAGAGCAGCTCTGAAACCCTCTTTTTCTAGAATCTGCAAGTGGACATTTGGAGGGCTTTGAGGCCTGTGGTGGAAAAGGAAAATCTTCACATAAAAACTAGATGGAAGCATTCTCAGAAACTACTTTGTGATGATTGCATTCGACTCACAGAGTTGAACATTCCTATAGATAGAGCAGGTTGTAAACAATCTTTTTGTAGAATCTGCGATTGGAGATTTGGACTGCTTTGAGGCCTACTGTAGTAAAGGAAATAACTTCATCTAAAAACCAAACGGAAAGCATTCACAGACAATTCTTAGTGATCATTGCATTGAACTAACAGAGCTGAACATTCCTTTAGATGGCGCAGTTTCCAAACACACTTTCTGTAGAATCTGCAAGTGGATATTTGGACTTCTCTGAGGATTTCGTTGGAAACGGGATAAACTTCCCAGAACTACACGGAAGCATTGTGAGAAACTTCTTTTTGATGTTTGCATTCAACTCACAGAGTTGAACCTTGCTTTCATAGTTCAGCTTTCAAACACTCTTTTTGTAGAATCTGCAAGTGGATATTTGGACCACTTTGTGGCCTTCCTTCGAAACGGGTATATCTTCACATCAAACCTAGACAGAAGCATTCTCAGAATGTTTCCTGTGATGACTGCATTCAACTCACAGAGGTGAACAATCCTGCTGATGGAGCAGTTTTGAAACTCTCTTTCTTTGGATTCTGCAAGTGGATATGTGGACCTCTGTGAAGATTTCGTTGGAAACGGGTTCATCTTCACAGAAAAACTAAACAGGAGCATTCTCAGAAACTGCTTTGTGATGCTTGTGTTCCACTTCAAGAATTGAACTTTCCTCTTGACAGAGCAGCTCTGAAACCCTCTTTTTCTAGAATCTGCAAGTGGACATTTGGAGGGCTTTGAGGCCTGTGGTGCAAAAGGAAAATCTTCACATAAAAACTAGATGGAAGCATTCTCAGAAACTACTTTGTGATGATTGCATTCGACTCACAGAGTTGAATATTCCTATAGATAGAGCAGGTTGTAAACAATCTTTTTGTAGAATCTGCGATTGGAGATTTGGACTGCTTTGAGGCCTACTGTAGTAAAGGAAATAACTTCATCTAAAAACCAAACGGAAGCATTCACAGACAATTCTTAGTGATCATTGCATTGAACTAACAGAGCTGAACATTCCTTTAGATGGAGCAGTTTCCAAACCCACTTTCTGTAGAATCTGCAAGTGGATATTTGGACTTCTCTGAGGATTTCGTTGGAAACGGGATAAACTTCCCAGAACTACAGGGAAGCATTCTGAGAAACTTCTTTGTGATGTTTGCATTCAACTCACAGAGTTGAACCTTGCTTTCATAGTTCAGCTTTCAAACACTCCTTTTGTAGAATCTGCAAGTGGATATTTGGACCACTTTGTGGCCTTTCCTTCGAAACGGGTATATCTTCACATCAAACCTAGACAGAAGCATTCTCAGAATGTTTCCTGTGATGACTGCATTCAACTCACAGAGGTGAACAATCCTGTTGATGGAGCAGTTTTGAAACTCTCTTTCTTTGGATTCTGCAAGTGGATATGTGGACCTCTGTGAAGATTTCGTTGGAAACGGGTTCATCTTCACAGAAAAACTAAACAGGAGCATTCTCAGAAACTGCTTTGTGATGTTTGTGTTCCACTTCAAGAATTGAACTTTCCTCTTGACAGAGCAGCTCTGAAACCCTCTTTCTCTAGAATCTGCAAGTGGACATTTGGAGGGCTTTGAGGCCTGTGGTGGAAAAGGAAAATCTTCACATAAAAAATAGATGGAAAGCATTCTCAGAAACTACTTTGTGATGATTGCATTCGACTCACAGAGTTGAACATTCCTATAGATAGAGCAGGTTGTAAACAATCTTTTTGTAGAATCTGCGATTGGAGATTTGGACTGCATTGAGGCCTACTGTAGTAACGGAAATAACTTCATCTAAAAACCAAACGGAAGCATTCACAGACAATTCTTAGTGATCATTGCATTGAACTAACAGAGCTGAACATACTTTTAGATGGCGCAGTTTCCAAACCCACTTTCTGTAGAATCTGCAAATGGATATTTGGACTTCTCTGAGGATTTCGTTGGAAACGGGATATGCTTCCCAGAACTACACGGAAGTATTCTGAGAAACTTCTTTGTGATGGTTGCATTCAACTCACAGAGTTGAACCTTGCTTTCATAGTTCAGCTTTCAAACACTCTTTTTGTAGAATCTGCAAGTGGATATTTGGACCACTTTGTGGCCTTCCTTCGAAACGGGTATATCTTCACATCAAACCTTGACAGAAGCATTCTCAGAATGTTTCCTGTGATGACTGCATTCAACTCACAGAGGTGAACAATCCTGCTGATGCAGCAGTTTTGAAACTCTGTTTCTTTGGATTCTGCAAGTGGATATGTGGACCTCTGTGAAGATTTCGTTGGAAACGGGTTCATCTTCACAGAAAAACTAAACAGGAGCATTCTCAGAAACTGCTTTGTGATGTTTGTGTTCCACTTCAGGAATTGAACTTTCCTCTTGACAGAGCAGCTCTGAAACCCTCTTTTTCTAGAATCTGCAAGTGGACATTTGGAGGGCTTTGAGGCCTGTGGTGGAAAAGGAAAATCTTCACATAAAAACTAGATGGAAGAATTCTCAGAAACTACTTTGTGATGATTGCATTCGACTCAAAGAGTTGAACATTCCTATAGATAGAGCAGGTTGTAAACAATCTTTTTGTAGAATCTGCAATAGGAGATTTGGACTGCTTTGAGGCCTACCGTAGTAAAGGAAATAACTTCATCTAAAAACCAAACGGAAGCATTCACAGACAATTCTTAGTGATCATTGGATTGAACTAACAGAGCTGAACATTCCCTTAGATGGCGCAGTTTCCAAACACACTTTCTGTAGAATCTGCAAGTGGATATTTGGACCTCTCTGAGGATTTCGTTGGAAACGGGATAAACTTCCCAGAACTACACGGAAGCATTCTGAGAAACTTCTTTGTGATGTTTGCATTCAACTCACAGAGTTGAACCTTGCTTTCATAGTTCAGCTTTCAAACACTCTTTTTGTAGAATCTGCAAGTGGATATTTGGACCACTTTGTGGCCTTCCTTCGAAACGGGTATATCTTCACATCAAACCTAGACAGAAGCATTCTCAGAATGTTTCCTGTGATGACTGCATTCAACTCACAGAGGTGAACAATCCTGTTGATGGAGCACTTTTGAAACTCTCTTTCTTTGGATTCTGCAAGTTGATATGTGGACCTCTGTGAAGATTTCGTTGGAAACGGGTTCATCTTCACAGAAAAACTAAACAGAAGCATTCTCAGGAAACTGCTTTGTGATGTTTGTGTTCCACTTCAGGAATTGAACTTTCCTCTTGACAGAGCAGCTCTGAAACCCTCTTTTTCTAGAATCTGCAAGTGGACATTTGGAGGGCTTTGAGGCCTGTGGTGGAAAAGGAAAATCTTCACATAAAAACTAGATGGAAGCATTCTCAGAAACTACTTTGTGATGATTGCATTCGACTCACAGAGTTGTACATTCCTATAGATAGAGCAGGTTGAAAACAATCTTTTTGTAGAATCTGCGATTGGAGATTTGGACTGCTTTGAGTCCTACTGTAGTAAAGGAAATAACTTCATCTAAAAACCAAACGGAAGCATTCACAGACAATTCTTAGTGATCATTGGATTGAACTAACAGAGCTGAACATTCCTTTAGATGGAGCAGTTTCCAAACACACTGTCTGTAGAATCTGCAAGTGGATATTTGGACCTCTCTGAGGATTTCTTTGGAAACGGGATAAACTTCCCAGAACTACACGGAAAGCATTGTGAGAAACTTCTTTGTGATGTTTGCATTCAACTCACAGAGTTGAACCTTGCTTTCATAGTTCAGCTTTCAAACACTCTTTTTGTGGAATCTGCAAGTGGATATTTGGACCACTTTGTGGCCTTCCTTCGAAACGGGTATATCTTCACATCAAACCTAGACAGAAGCATTCTCAGAATGTTTCCTGTGATGACTGCATTCAACTCACAGAGGTGAACAATCCTGTTGATGGAGCACTTTTGAAACTCTCTTTCTTTGGATTCTGCAAGTTGATATGTGGACCTCTGAGAACATTTCGTTGGAAACGGGTTCATCTTCACAGAAAAACTAAACAGAAGCATTCTCAGAAACAGCTTTGTGATGTTTGTGTTCCACTTCAAGAATTGAACTTTCCTCTTGAGAGAGCAGCTCTGAAACCCTCTTTTTCTAGAGTCTGCAAGTGGACACTTGGAGGGCTTTGAGGCCTGTGGTGGAAAAGGAAAATCTTCACATAAAAACTAGATGGAAGCATTCTCAGAAACTACTTTGTGATGATTGCATTCGACTCACAGAGTTGAACATTCCTATAGATAGAGCAGGTTGTAAACAATCTTTTTGTAGAATCTGCGATTGGAGATTTGGACTGCTTTGAGGCCTACTTGTAGTAAAGGCAATAACTTCATCTAAAAACCAAACGGAAGCATTCACAGACAATTCTTAGTGATCATTGGATTGAACTAACAGAGCTGAACATTCCTTTAGATGGCGCAGTTTCCAAACACACTTTCTGTAGAATCTGCAAGTGGATATTTGGACCTCTCTGAGGATTTCGTTGGAAACGGGATAAACTTCCCAGAACTACACGGAAGCATTCTGAGAAACTTCTTTGTGATGTTTGCATTCAACTCACAGAGTTGAACCTTGCTTTCATAGTTCAGCTTTCAAACACTCTTTTTGTAGAATCTGCAAGTGGATATTTGGACCACTTTCTGGCCTTCCTTCGAAACGGGTATATCTTCACATCAAACCTAGACAGAAGCATTCTCAGAATGTTTCCTGTGATGACTGCATTCAACTCACAGAGGTGAA
Organism: Homo sapiens; assembly: GCF_000001405.40. Lineage (NCBI taxonomy): Eukaryota > Metazoa > Chordata > Mammalia > Primates > Hominidae > Homo > Homo sapiens. Next base: position 51,654,832 of record NC_000011.10, read on the forward strand.
CAATCCTGCTGATGGAGCAGTTTTGAAACTCTCTTTCTTTGGATTCTGCAAGTGGATATGTGGACCTCTGTGAAGATTTCGTTGGAAACGGGTTCATCTTCACAGAAAAACTAAACAGAAGCATTCTCAGAAACTGCTTTGTGATGTTTGCGTTCCACTTCAGGAATTGAACTTTCCTCTTGACAGAGCAGCTCTGAAACCCTCTTTTTCTAGAATCTGCAAGTGGACATTTGGAGGGCTTTGAGGCCTGTGGTGGAAAAGGAAAATCTTCACATAAAACTAGATGGAAGCATTCTCAGAAACTACTTTGTGATGATTGCATTCGACTCACAGAGTTGAACATTCCTATAGATAGAGCAGGTTGTAAACAATCTTTTTGTAGAATCTGCGATTGGAGATTTGGACTGCTTTGAGGCCTACTGTAGTAAAGGAAATAACTTCATCTAAAAACCAAACGGAAGCATTCACAGACAATTCTTAGTGATCATTGGATTGAACTAACAGAGCTGAACATTCCTTTAGATGGAGCAGTTTCCAAACACACTTTCTGTAGAATCCGCAAGTGGATATTTGGACCTCTGTGAGGATTTCGTTGGAAACGGGATAAATTTCCCATCACTACACGGAAGCATTCTGAGAAACTTCTTTGTGATGTTTGCATTCAACTCACAGAGTTGAACCTTGCTTTCATAGTTCAGCTTTCAAACACTCTTTTTGTAGAATCTGCAAGTGGATATTTGGACAACTTTGTGGCCTTCCTTCGAAACGGGTATATCTTCACATCAAACCTAGACAGAAGCATTCTCAGAATGTTTCCTGTGATGACTGCATTCAACTCACAGAGGTGAACAATCCTGCTGATGGAGCAGTTTTGAAACTCTCTTTCTTTGGATTCTGCAAGTGGATATGTGAACCTCTTTGAAGATTTCGTTGGAAACGGGTTCATCTTCACAGAAAAACTAAACAGGAGCATTCTCAGAAACTGCTTTGTGATGTTTGTGTTCCACTTCAAGAATTGAACTTTCCTCTTGACAGAGCAGCTCTGAAACCCTCTTTTTCTAGAATCTGCAAGTGGACATTTGGAGGGCTTTGAGGCCTGTGGTGGAAAAGGAAAATCTTCACATAAAAACTAGATGGAAGCATTCTCAGAAACTACTTTGTGATGATTGCATTCGACTCACAGAGTTGAACATTCCTATAGATAGAGCAGGTTGTAAACAATCTTTTTGTAGAATCTGCGATTGGAGATTTGGACTGCTTTGAGGCCTACTGTAGTAAAGGAAATAACTTCATCTAAAAACCAAACGGAAGCATTCACAGACAATTCTTAGTGATCATTGCATTGAACTAACAGAGCTGAACATTCCTTTAGATGGCGCAGTTTCCAAACACACTTTCTGTAGAATCTGCAAGTGGATATTTGGACCTCTCTGAGGATTTCGTTGGAAACGGGATAAACTTCCCAGAACTACACGGAAGCATTGTGAGAAACTTCTTTGTGATGTTTGCATTCAACTCACAGAGTTGAACCTTGCTTTCATAGTTCAGCTTTCAAACATTCTTTTTGTAGAATCTGCAAGTGGATATTTGGACCACTTTGTGGTCTTCCTTCGAAACGGGTATATCTTCACATCAAACCTAGACAGAAGCATTCTCAGAATGTTTCCTGTGATGACTGCATTCAACTCACAGAGGTGAACAATCCTGCTGATGGAGCAGTTTTGAAACTCTCTTTCTTTGGATTCTGCAAGTGGATATGTGGACCTCTGTGAAGATTTCGTTGGAAACGGGTTCATCTTCACAGAAAAACTAAACAGAAGCATTCTCAGAAACTGCTTTGTGATGTTTGTGTTCCACTTCAGGAATTGAACTTTCCTCTTGACAGAGCAGCTCTGAAATCCTCTTATTCTAGAATCTGCAAGTGGACATTTGGAGGGCTTTGAGGCCTGTGGTGGAAAAGGAAAATCTTCACATAAAAACTAGATGGAAGCATTCTCAGAAACTACTTTGTGATGATTGCATTCGACTCACAGAGTTGAACATTCCTATAGATAGAGCAGGTTGTAAACAATCTTTTTGTAGAATCTGCGATTGGAGATTTGGACTGCTTTGAGGCCTACTGTAGTAAAGGAAATAACTTCATCTAAAAACCAAACGGAAGCATTCACAGACAATTCTTAGTGATCATTGGATTGAACTAACAGAGCTGAACATTCCCTTAGATGGCGCAGTTTCCAAACACACTTTCTGTAGAATCTGCAAGTGGATATTTGGACCTCTCTGAGGATTTCGTTGGAAACGGGATAAACTTCCCAGAACTACACGGAAGCATTCTGAGAAACTTCTTTGTGATGTTTGCATTCAACTCACAGAGTTGAACCTTGCTTTCATAGTTCAGCTTTGAAACACTCTTTTTGTAGAATCTGCAAGTGGATATTTGGACCACTTTGTGGCCTTCCTTCGAAACGGGTATATCTTCACATCAAACCTAGACAGAAGCATTCTCAGAATGTTTCCTGTGATGACTGCATTCAACTCACAGAGGTGAACAATCCTGCTGATGGAGCAGTTTTGAAACTCTCTTTCTTTGGATTCTGCAAGTGGATTTGTGGACCTCTGTGAAGATTTCGTTGGAAAAGGGTTCATCTTCACAGAGAAACTAAACAGGAGCATTCTCAGAAACTGCTTTGTGATGTTTGTGTTCCACTTCAGGAATTGAACTTTCCTCTTGACAGAGCAGCTCTGAAACCCTCTTTTTCTAGAATCTGCAAGTGGACATTTGGAGGGCTTTGAGGCCTGTGGTGGAAAAGGAAAATCTTCAAATAAAAACTAGATGGAAGGATTCTCAGAAACTACTTTGTGATGATTGCATTCGACTCACAGAGTTGAACATTCCTATAGAGAGAGCAGGTTGTAAACAATCTCTTTGTAGAATCTGCGATTAGAGATTTGGACTACTTTGAGGCCTACTGTAGTAAAGGAAATAACTTCATCTAAAAACCAAACGGAAGGATTCACAGACAATTCTTAGTGATCATTGCATTGAACTAACAGAGCTGAACATTCCTTTAGATGGCGCAGTTTCCAAACACACTTTCTGTAGAATCTGCAAGTGGATATTTGGACCTCTCTGAGGATTTCGTTGGAAACGGGATAAACTTCCCAGAACTACACGGAAGCATTCTGAGAAACTTCTTTGTGATGTTTGCATTCAACTCACAGAGTTGAACCTTGCTTTCATAGTTCAGCTTTCAAACACTCTTTTTGTAGAATCTGCAAGTGGATATTTGGACCACTTTGTGGCCTTCCTTCGAAACGGGTATATCTTCACATCAAACCTAGACAGAAGCATTCTCAGAATGTTTCCTGTGGTGACTGCATTCAACTCACAGAGGTGAACAATCCTGCTGTTGGAGCAGTTTTGAAACTCTCTTTCTTTGGATTCTGCAAGTGGATATGTGGACCTCTGTGAAGATTTCGTTGGAAACGGGTTCATCTTCACAGAAAAACTAAACAGGAGCATTCTCAGAAACTGCTTTGTGATGTTTGTGTTCCACTTCAAGAATTGAACTTTCCTCTTGACAGAGCAGCTCTGAAACCCTCTTTTTCTAGAATCTGCAAGTGGACATTTGGAGGGCTTTGAGGCCTGTGGTGGAAAACGAAAATCTTCACATAAAAACTAGATGGAAGCATTCTCAGAAACTACTTTGTGATGATTGCATTCGACTCACAGAGTTGAACATTCCTATAGATAGAGCAGGTTGTAAACAATCTTTTTGTAGAATCTGCGATTGGAGATTTGGACTGCTTTGAGGCCTACTGTAGTAAAGGAAATAACTTCATCTAAAAACCAAACGGAAGCATTCACAGACAATTCTTAGTGATCATTGCATTGAACTAACAGAGCTGAACATTGCTTTAGATGGCGCAGTTTCCAAACCCACTTTCTGTAGAATCTGCAAGTGGATATTTGGACTTCTCTTAGGATTTCGTTGGAAAAGGGATATACTTCCCAGAACTACACGGAAGCATTGTGAGAAACTTCTTTGTGATGTTTGCATTCAACTCACAGAGTTGAACCTTGCTTTCATAGTTCAGCTTTCAAACACTCTTTTTGTAGAATCTGCAAGTGGATATTTGGACCACTTTGTGGCCTTCCTTTGAAACGGGTATATCTTCACATCAAACCTAGACAGAAGCATTCTCAGAATGTTTCCTGTGATGACTGCATTCAACTCACAGAGGTGAACAATCCTGTTGATGGAGCAGTTTTGTAACTCTCTTTCTTTGGATTCTGCAAGTTGATATGTGGACCTCTGTGAAGATTTCGTTGGAAACGGGTTCATCTTCACAGAAAAACTAAACAGAAGCATTCTCAGAAACTGCTTTGTGATGTTTGTGTTCCACTTCAAGAATTGAACTTTCCTCTTGACAGAGCAGCTCTGAAACCCTCTTTTTCTAGAATCTGCAAGTGGACATTTGGAGGGCTTTGAGGCCTGTGGTGGAAAAGGAAAATCTTCACATAAAAACTAGATGGAAGCATTCTCAGAAACTACTTTGTGATGATTGCATTCGACTCACAGAGTTGAACATTCCTATAGATAGAGCAGGTTGTAAACAATCTTTTTGTAGAATCTGCGATTGGAGATTTGGACTGCTTTGAGGCCTACTGTAGTAAAGGAAATAACTTCATCTAAAAACCAAACGGAAGCATTCACAGACAATTCTTAGTGATCATTGCATTGAACTAACAGAGCTGAACATTCCTTTAGATGGCGCAGTTTCCAAACCCACTTTCTGTAGAATCTGCAAGTGGATATTTGGACTTCTCTTAGGATTTCGTTGGAAAAGGGATATACTTCCCAGAACTACACGGAAGCATTGTGAGAAACTTCTTTGTGATGTTTGCATTCAACTCACAGAGTTGAACCTTGCTTTCATAGTTCAGCTTTCAAACACTCTTTTTGTAGAATCTGCAAGTGGATATTTGGACCACTTTGTGGCCTTCCTTTGAAACGGGTATATCTTCACATCAAACCTAGACAGAAGCATTCTCAGAATGTTTCCTGTGATGACTGCATTCAACTCACAGAGGTGAACAATCCTGCTGATGGAGCAGTTTTGAAACTCTCTTTCTTTGGATTCTGCAAGTGGATATGTGGACCTCTGTGAAGATTTCGTTGGAAACGGGTTCATCTTCACAGAAAAACTAAACAGGGAGCATTCTCAGAAACTGCTTTGTGATGTTTGTGTTCCACTTAAAGAATTGAACTTTCCTCTTGACAGAGCAGCTCTGAAACCCTCTTTTTCTAGAATCTGCAAGTGGACATTTGGAGGGCTTTGAGGCCTGTGGTGGAAAAGGAAAATCTTCACATAAAAACTTTATGGAGCATTCTCAGAAACTTCTTTGTGATGATTGCATTCGACTCACAGAGTTGAACATTCCTATAGATAGAGCAGGTTGTAAACAATCTTTTTGTAGAATCTGCGATTGGAGATTTGGACTGCTTTGAGGCCTTCTGTAGTAAAGGAAACTACTTCATCTAAAAACCAAACGGAAGCATTCACAGACAATTCTTAGTGATCGTTGGATTGAACTAACAGAGCTGAACATTCCCTTAGATGGAGCAGTTTCCAAACACACTTTCTGTAGAATCTGCAAGTGGATATTTGGACTTCTCTGAGGATTTCGTTGGAAACGGGATAAACTTCCCAGAACTACACGGAAGCATTGTGAGAAACTTCTTTGTGATGTTTGCATTCAACTCACAGAGTTGAACCTTGCTTTCATAGTTCAGCTTTCAAACACTCTTTTTGTAGAATCTGCAAGTGGATATTTGGACCACTTTGTGGCCTTCCTTTGAAAAGGGTATATCTTCACATCAAACCTAGACAGAAGCATTCTCAGAATGTTTCCTGTGATGACTGCATTCAACTCACAGAGGTGAACAATCCTGGTAATGGAGCAGTTTTGAAACTCTCTTTCTTTGGATTCTGCAAGTGGATATGTGGACCTCTGTGAAGATTTCGTTGGAAACTGGTTCATCTTCACAGAAAAACTAAACAGAAGCATTCTCAGAAACTGCTTTGTGATGTTTGTGTTCCACTTCAAGAATTGAACTTTCCTCTTGACAGAGCAGCTCTGAAACCCTCTTTTTCTAGAATCTGCAAGTGGACATTTGGAGGGCTTTGAGGCCTGTGGTGGAAAAGGAAAATCTTCACATAAAAACTAGATGGAAGCATTCTCAGAAACTCCTTTGTGATGATTGCATTCGACTCACAGAGTTGAACATTCCTATAGATAGAGCAGGTTGTAAACAATCTTTTTGTAGAATCTGCGATTGGAGATTTGGACTGCTTTGAGGCCTACTGTAGTAAAGGAAATAACTTCATCTAAAAACCAAACGGAAGCATTCACAGACAATTCTTAGTGATCATTGCATTGAACTAACAGAGCTGAACATTCCTTTAGATGGCGCAGTTTCCAAACACACTTTCTGTAGAATCTGCAAGTGGATATTTGGACCTCTCTGAGGATTTCGTTGGAAACGGGATAAACTTCCCAGAACTACACGGAAGCATTGTGAGAAACTTCTTTGTGATGTTTGCATTCAACTCACAGAGTTGAACCTTGCTTTCATAGTTCAGCTTTCAAACACTCTTTTTATAGAATCTGCAAGTGGATATTTGGACCACTTTGTGGCCTTCCTTCGAAACGGGTATATCTTCACATCAAACCTAGACAGAAGCATTCTCAGAATGTTTCCTGTGATGACTGCATTCAACTCACAGAGGTGAACAATCCTGCTGATGGAGCAGTTTTGAAACTCTCTTTCTTTGGATTCTGCAAGTGGATATGTGGACCTCTGTGAAGATTTCGTTGGAAACGGGTTCATCTTCACAGAAAAACTAAACAGGAGCATTCTCAGAAACTGCTTTGTGATGTTTGTGTTCCACTTAAAGAATTGAACTTTCCTCTTGACAGAGCAGCTCTGAAACCCTCTTTTTCTAGAATCTGCAAGTGGACATTTGGAGGGCTTTGAGGCCTGTGGTGGTAAAGGAAAATCTTCACATAAAAACTTTATGGAAGCATTCTCAGAAACTTCTTTGTGATGATTGCATTCGACTCACAGAGTTGAACATTCCTATAGATAGAGCAGGTTGTAAACAATCTTTTTGTAGAATCTGCGATTGGAGATTTGGACTGCTTTGAGGCCTACTGTAGTAAAGGAAATTACTTCATCTAAAAACCAAACGGAAGCATTCACAGACAATTCTTAGTGATCATTGGATTGAACTAACAGAGCTGAACATTCCTTTAGATGGAGCAGTTTCCAAACCCACTTTCTGTAGAATCTGCAAGTGGATATTTGGACTTCTCTGAGGATTTCGTTGGAAACGGGATAAACTTCCCAGAACTACACGGAAGCATTGTGAGAAACTTCTTTGTGATGTTTGCATTCAACTCACAGAGTTGAACCTTGCTTTCATAGTTCAGCTTTCAAACACTCTTTTTGTAGAATCTGCAAGTGGATATTTGGACCACTTTGTGGCCTTCCTTCGAAACGGGTATATCTTCACATCAAACCTAGACAGAAGCATTCTCAGAATGTTTCCTGTGATGACTGCATTCAACTCACAGAGGTGAACAATCCTGCTGATGGAGCAGTTTTGAAACTCTCTTTCTTTGGATTCTGCAAGTGGATATGTGGACCTCTGTGAAGATTTCGTTGGAAACGGGTTCATCTTCACAGAAAAACTAAACAGGAGCATTCTCAGAAACTGCTTTGTGATGTTTGTGTTCCACTTCAAGAATTGAACTTTCCTCTTGACAGAGCAGCTCTGAAAACCTCTTTTTCTAGAATCTGCAAGTGGACATTTGGAGGGCTTTGAGGCCTGTGGTGGAAAAGGAAAATCTTCACATAAAAACTAGATGGAAGCATTCTCAGAAACTACTTTGTGATGATTGCATTCGACTCACAGAGTTGAACATTCCTATAGATAGAGCAGGTTGTAAACAATCTTTTTGTAGAATCTGCGATTGGAGATTTGGACTGCTTTGAGGCCTACTGTAGTAAAGGAAATAACTTCATCTAAAAACCAAACGGAAGCATTCACAGACAATTCTTAGTGATCATTGCATTGAACTAACAGAGCTGAACATTGCTTTAGATGGCGCAGTTTCCAAACACACTTTCTGTAGAATCTGCAAGTGGATATTTGGACCTCTCTGAGGATATCGTTGGAAAAGGGATAAACTTCCCAGAACTACACGGAAGCATTGTGAGAAACTTCTTTGTGATGTTTGCATTCAACTCACAGAGTTGAACCTTGCTTTCATAGTTCAGCTTTCAAACACTGCTTTGTAGAATCTGCAAGTGGATATTTGGACCACTTTGTGGCCTTCCTTCGAAACGGGTATATCTTCACATCAAACCTAGACAGAAGCATTCTCAGAATGTTTCCTGTGATGACTGCATTCAACTCACAGAGGTGAACAATCCTGTTGATGGAGCAGTTTTGAAACTCTCTTTCTTTGGATTCTGCAAGTGGATATGTGGACCTCTGTGAAGATTTCATTGGAAACGGGTTCATCTTCACAGAAAAACTAAACAGGAGCATTCTCAGAAACTACTTTGTGATGTTTGTGTTCCACTTCAAGAATTGAACTTTCCTCTTGACAGAGCAGCTCTGAAACCCTCTTTTTCTAGAATCTGCAAGTGGACATTTGGAGGGCTTTGAGGCCTGTGGTGGAAAAGGAAAATCTTCACATAAAAACTAGATGGAAGCATTCTCAGAAACTACTTTGTGATGATTGCATTCGACTCACAGAGTTGAACATTCCTATAGATAGAGCAGGTTGAAAACAATCTTTTTGTAGAATCTGCGATTGGAGATTTGGACTGCTTTGAGGCCTACTGTAGTAAAGGAAATAACTTCATCTAAAAACCAAACGGAAGCATTCACAGACAATTCTTAGTGATCATTGGATTGAACTAACAGAGCTGAACATTCCTTTAGATGGAGCAGTTTCCAAACACACTTTCTGTAGAATCTGCAAGTGGATATTTGGACCTCTCTGAGGATTTCTTTGGAAACGGGATAAACTTCCCAGAACTACACGGAAGTATTCTGAGAAACTTCTTTGTGATGTTTGCATTCAACTCACAGAGTTGAACCTTGCTTTCATAGTTCAGCTTTCAAACACTCTTTTTGTAGAATCTGCAAGTGGATATTTGGACCACTTTGTGGCCTTCCTTCGAAACGGGTATATCTTCACATCAAACCTAGACAGAAGCATTCTCAGAATGTTTCCTGTGATGACTGCATTCAACTCACAGAGGTGAACAATCCTGCTGATGGAGCAGTTTTGAAACTCTCTTTCTTTGGATTCTGCAAGTGGATATGTGGACCTCTGTGAAGATTTCGTTGGAAACGGGTTCATCTTCACAGAAAAACTAAACAGGAGCATTCTCAGAAACTGCTTTGTGATGTTTGTGTTCCACTTCAGGAATTGAACTTTCCTCTTGACAGAGCAGCTCTGAAACCCTCTTTTTCTAGAATCTGCAAGTGGACATTTGGAGGGCTTTGAGGCCTGTGGTGGAAAAGGAAAATCTTCACATAAAAACTAGATGGAAGCATTCTCAGAAACTACTTTGTGATGATTGCATTCGACTCACAGAGTTGAACATTCCTATAGATAGAGCAGGTTGTAAACAATCTTTTTGTAGAATCTGCGATTGGAGATTTGGACTGCTTTGAGGCCTACTGTAGTAAAGGAAATAACTTCATCTAAAAACCAAACGGAAGCATTCACAGACAATTCTTAGTGATCATTGGATTGAACTAACAGAGCTGAACATTCCTTTAGATGGAGCAGTTTCCAAACACACTTTCTGTAGAATCTGCAAGTGGATATTTGGACTTCTCTGAGGATTTCGTTGGAAACGGGATAAACTTCCCAGAACTACACGGAAGCATGCTGAGAAACTTCTTTGTGATGTTTGCATTCAACTCACAGAGTTGAACCTTGCTTTCATAGTTCAGCTTTCAAACACTCTTTTTGTAGAATCTGCAAGTGGATATTTAGACCACTTTGTGGCCTTCCTTCGAAACGGGTATATCTTCACATCAAACCTAGACAGAAGCATTCTCAGAATGTTTCCTGTGATGACTGCATTCAACTCACAGAGGTGAACAATCCTGTTGATGGAGCACTTTTGAAACTCTCTTTCTTTGGATTCTGCAAGTGGATATGTGGACCTCTGTGAAGATTTCGTTGGAAACGGGTTCATCTTCACAGAAAAACTAAACAGAAGCATTCTCAGAAACTGCTTTGTGATGTTTGTGTTCCACTTCAGGAATTGAACTTTCCTCTTGACAGAGCAGCTCTGAAACCCTCTTATTCTAGAATCTGCAAGTGGACATTTGGAGGGCTTTGAGGCCTGTGGTGGAAAAGGAAAATCTTCACATAAAAACTAGATGGAAGCATTCTCAGAAACTACTTTGTGATGATTGCATTCGACTCACAGAGTTGAACATTCCTATAGATAGAGCAGGTTGTAAACAATCTTTTTGTAGAATCTGCGATTGGAGATTTGGACTGCTTTGAGGCCTACTGTAGTAAAGGAAATAACTTCATCTAAAACCAAACGGAAGCATTCACAGACAATTCTTAGTGATCATTGGATTGAACTAACAGAGCTGAACATTCCTTTAGATGGAGCAGTTTCCAAACACACTTTCTGTAGAATCTGCAAGTGTATATTTGGACTTCTCTGAGGATTTCGTTGGAAACGGGATAAACTTCCCAGAACTACACGGAAGCATTCTGAGAAACTTCTTTGTGATGTTTGCATTCAACTCACAGAGTTGAACCTTGCTTTCTTAGTTCAGCTTTCAAACACTCTTTTTGTAGAATCTGCAAGTGGATATTTGGACCACTTTGTGGCCTTCCTTCGAAACGGGTATATCTTCACATCAAACCTAGACAGAAGCATTCTCAGAATGTTTCCTGTGATGACTGCATTCAACTCACAGAGGTGAACAATCCTGTTGATGGAGCAGTTTTGAAACTCTCTTTCTTTGGATTCTGCAAGTGGATATGTGGACCTCTGTGAAGATTTGGTTGGAAACGGGTTCATCTTCACAGAAAAACTAAACAGAAGCATTCTCAGAAACTGTTTTGTGATGTTTGTGTTCCACTTCAAGAATTGAACTTTCCTCTTGACAGAGCAGCTCTGAAACCCTCTTTTTCTAGAATCTGCAAGTGGACATTTGGAGGGCTTTGAGGCCTGTGGTGGAAAAGGAAAATCTTCCCATAAAAACTAGATGGAAGCATTCTCAGAAACTACTTTGTGATGATTGCATTCGACTCACAGAGTTGAACATTCCTATAGATAGAGCAGGTTGTAAACAATCTTTTTGTAGAATCTGCGATTGGAGATTTGGACTGCTTTGAGGCCTACTGTAGTAAAGGAAATAACTTCATCTAAAAACCAAACGGAAGCATTCACAGACAATTCTTAGTGATCATTGGATTGAACTAACAGAGCTGAACATTCCTTTAGATGGAGCAGTTTCCAAACACACTTTCTGTAGAATCTGCAAGTGGATATTTGGACTTCTCTGAGGATTTCGTTGGAAACGGGATAAACTTCCCAGAACTACACGGAAGCATTCTGAGAAACTTCTTTGTGATGTTTGCATTCAACTCACAGAGTTGAACCTTGCTTTCATAGTTCAGCTTTCAAACACTCTTTTTGTAGAATCTGCAAGTGGATATTTGGACCACTTTGTGGCCTTCCTTCGAAACGGGTATATCTTCACATCAAACCTAGACAGAAGCATTCTCAGAATGTTTCCTGTGATGACTGCATTCAACTCACAGAGGTGAACAATCCTGCTGATGGAGCAGTTTTGAAACTCTCTTTCTTTGGATTCTGCAAGTGGATATGTGGACCTCTGTGAAGATTTCGTTGGAAACGGGTTCATCTTCACAGAAAAACTAAACAGAAGCATTCTCAGAAACTGCTTTGTGATGTTTGTGTTCCACTACAAGAATTGAACTTTCCTCTTGACAGAGCAGCTCTGAAACCCTCTTTTTCTAGAATCTGCAAGTGGACATTTGGAGGGCTTTGAGGCCTGTGGTGGAAAAGGAAAATATTCACGTAAAAACTTTATGGAAGCATTCTCAGAAACTACTTTGTGATGATTGCATTCGACTCACAGAGTTGAACATTCCTATAGATAGAGCAGGTTGTAAACAATCTTTTTGTAGAATCTGCGATTGGAGATTTGGACTGCTTTGAGCCCTACTGTAGTAAAGGAAATAACTTCATCTAAAAACCAAACGGAAGCATTCACAGACAATTCTTAGTGATCATTGGATTGAACTAACAGAGCTGAACATTCCTTTAGATGGAGCAGTTTCCAAACACACTTTCTGTAGAATCTGCAAGTGGATATTTGGACTTCTCTGAGGATTTCGTTGGAAACGGGATAAACTTCCCAGAACTACAGGGAAGCATTCTGAGAAACTTCTTTGTGATGTTTGCATTCAACTCACAGAGTTGAACCTTGCTTTCATAGTTCAGCTTTCAAACACTCTTTTTGTAGAATCTGCAAGTGGATATTTGGACCACTTTGTGGCCTTCCTTCGAAACGGGTATATCTTCACATCAAACCTAGACAGAAGCATTCTCAGAATGTTTCCTGTGATGACTGCATTCAACTCACAGAGGTGAACAATCCTGTTGATGGAGCAGTTTTGAATCTCTCTTTCTTTGGATTCTGCAAGTGGATATGTGGACCTACTGTGCAGATTTCGTTGGAAACGGGTTCATTTTCACAGAAAAACTAAACAGAAGCATTCTCAGAAACTGCTTTGTGATGTTTGTGTTCCACTTCAAGAATTGAACTTTCCTCTTGACAGAGCAGCTCTGAAACCCTCTTTTTCTAGAATCTGCAAGTGGACATTTGGAGGGCCATGAGGCCTGTGGTGGAAAAGGAAAATCTTCCCATAAAAACTAGATGGAAGCATTCTCAGAAACTACTTTGTGATGATTGCATTCGACTCACAGAGTTGAACATTCCTATAGATAGAGCAGGTTGTAAACAATCTTTTTGTAGAATCTGCGATTGGAGATTTGGACTGCTTTGAGGCCTACTGTAGTAAAGGAAATAACTTCATCTAAAAACCAAACGGAAGCATTCACAGACAATTCTTAGTGATCATTGGATTGAACTAACAGAGCTGAACATTCCTTTAGATGGAGCAGTTTCCAAACACACTTTCTGTAGAATCTGCAAGTGGATATTTGGACTTCTCTGAGGATTTCGTTGGAAACGGGATAAACTTCCCAGAACTACACGGAAGCATTCTGAGAAACTTCTTTGTGATGTTTGCATTCAACTCACAGAGTTGAACCTTGCTTTCATAGTTCAGCTTTCAAACACTCTTTTTGTAGAATCTGCAAGTGGATATTAGGACCACTTTGTGGCCTTCCTTCGAAACGGGTATATCTTCACATCAAACCTAGACAGAAGGATTCTCAGAATGTTTCCTGTGATGACTGCATTCAACTCACAGAGGTGAACAATCCTGCTGATGGAGCAGTTTTGAAACTCTCTTTCTTTGGATTCTGCAAGTGGATATGTGGACCTCTGTGAAGATTTCGTTGGAAACGGGTTCATCTTCACAGAAAAACTAAACAGAAGCATTCTCAGAAACTGCTTTGTGATGTTTGTGTTCCACTTCAGGAATTGAACTTTCCTCTTGACAGAGCAGCTCTGAAACCCTCTTATTCTAGAATCTGCAAGTGGACATTTGGAGGGCTTTGAGGCCTGTGGTGGAAAAGGAAAATCTTCACATAAAAACTAGATGGAAGCATTCTCAGAAACTACTTTGTGATGATTGCATTCGACTCACAGAGTTGAACATTCCTATAGATAGAGCAGGTTGTAAACAATCTTTTTGTAGAATCTGCGATTGGAGATTTGGACTGCTTTGAGGCCTACTGTAGTAAAGGAAATAACTTCATCTAAAAACCAAACGGAAGCATTCACAGACAATTCTTAGTGATCATTGCATTGAACTAACAGAGCTGAACATTCCTTTAGATGGAGCAGTTTCCAAACACACTTTCTGTAGAATCTGCAAGTGGATATTTGGACTTCTCTGAGGATTTCGTTGGAAACGGGATAAACTTTCCAGAACTACACGGAAGCATTCTGAGAAACTTCTTTGTGATGTTTGCATTCAACTCACAGAGTTGAACCTTGCTTTCATAGTTCAGCTTTCAAACACTCTTTTTGTAGAATCTGCAAGTGGATATTTGGACCACTTTGTGGCCTTCCTTCGAAACGGGTATATCTTCACATCAAACCTAGACAGAAGCATTCTCAGAATGTTTCCTGTGATGACTGCATTCAACTCACAGAGGTGAACAATCCTGTTGATGGAGCAGTTTTGAAACTCTCTTTCTTTGGATTCTGCAAGTGGATATGTGGACCTCTGTGAAGATTTCGTTGGAAACGGGTTCATCTTCACAGAAAAACTAAACAGGAGCATTCTCAGAAACTGCTTTGTGATGTTTGTGTTCCACTTCAGGAATTGAACTTTCCTCTTGACAGAGCAGCTCTGAAACCCTCTTTTTCTAGAATCTGCAAGTGGACATTTGGAGGGCTTTGAGGCCTGTGGTGGAAAAGGAAAATCTTCACATAAAAACTAGATGGAAGCATTCTCAGAAACTACTTTGTGATGATTGCATTCGACTCACAGAGTTGAACATTCCTATAGATAGAGCAGGTTGTAAACAATCTTTTTGTAGAATCTGCGATTGGAGATTTGGACTGCTTTGAGGCCTACTGTAGTAAAGGAAATAACTTCATCTAAAAACCAAACGGAAGCATTCACAGACAATTCTTAGTGATCATTGGATTGAACTAACAGAGCTGAACATTCCTTTAGATGGAGCAGTTTCCAAACCCACTTTCTGTAGAATCTGCAAGTGGATATTTGGACTTCTCTGAGGATTTCGTTGGAAACGGGATAAACTTCCCAGAACTACACGGAAGCATTGTGAGAAACTTCTTTGTGATGTTTGCATTCAACTCACAGAGTTGAACCTTGCTTTCATAGTTCAGCTTTCAAACACTCTTTTTGTAGAATCTGCAAGTGGATATTTGGACCACTTTGTGGCCTTCCTTCGAAACGGGTATATCTTCACATCAAACCTAGACAGAAGCATTCTCAGAATGTTTCCTGTGATGACTGCATTCAACTCACAGAGGTGAACAATCCTGCTGATGGAGCAGTTTTGAAACTCTCTTTCTTTGGATTCTGCAAGTGGATATGTGGACCTCTGTGAAGATTTCGTTGGAAACGGGTTCATCTTCACAGAAAAACTAAACAGAAGCATTCTCAGAAACTGCTTTGTGATGTTTGTGTTCCACTTCAGGAATTGAACTTTCCTCTTGACAGAGCAGCTCTAAAACCCTCTTATTCTAGAATCTGCAAGTGGACATTTGGAGGGCTTTGAGGCCTGTGGTGGAAAAGGAAAATCTTCACATAAAAACTAGATGGAAGCATTCTCAGAAACTACTTTGTGATGATTGCATTCGACTCACAGTGTTGAACATTCCTATAGATAGAGCAGGTTGTAAACAATCTTTTTGTAGAATCTGCGATTGGAGATTTGGACTGCTTTGAGGCCTACTGTAGTAAAGGAAATAACTTCATCTAAAAACCAAACGGAAGCATTCACAGACAATTCTTAGTGATCATTGCATTGAACTAACAGAGCTGAACATTCCTTTAGATGGCGCAGTTTCCAAACACACTTTCTGTAGAATCTGCAAGTGGATATTTGGACTTCTCTGAGGATTTCGTTGGAAACGGGATAAACTTCCCAGAACTACACGGAAGCATTCTGAGAAACTTCTTTGTGATGTTTGCATTCAACTCACAGAGTTGAACCTTGCTTTCATAGTTCAGCTTTCAAACACTCTTTTTGTAGAATCTGCAAGTGGATATTTGGACCACTTTGTGGCCTTCCTTCGAAACGGGTATATCTTCACATCAAACCTAGACAGAAGCATTCTCAGAATGTTTCCTGTGATGACTGCATTCAACTCACAGAGGTGAACAATCCTGTTGATGGAGCAGTTTTGAAACTCTCTTTCTTTGGATTCTGCAAGTTGATATGTGGACCTCTGTGAAGATTTCGTTGGAAACGGGTTCATCTTCACAGAAAAACTAAACAGAAGCATTCTCAGAAACTGCTTTGTGATGTTTGTGTTCCACTTCAGGAATTGAACTTTCCTCTTGACAGAGCAGCTCTGAAACCCTCTTATTCTAGAATCTGCAAGTGGACATTTGGAGGGCTTTGAGGCCTGTGGTGGAAAAGGAAAATCTTCACATAAAAACTAGATGGAAGCATTCTCAGAAACTACTTTGTGATGATTGCATTCGACTCACAGAGTTGAACATTCCTATACATAGAGCAGGTTGTAAACAATCTTTTTGTAGAATCTGCGATTGGAGATTTGGACTGCTTTGAGGCCTACTGTAGTAAAGGAAATAACTTCATCTAAAAACCAAACGGAAGCATTCACAGACAATTCTTAGTGATCATTGGATTGAACTAACAGAGCTGAACATTCCTTTAGATGGCGCAGTTTCCAAACACACTTTCTGTAGAATCTGCAAGTGGATATTTGGACCTCTCTGAGGATTTCGTTGGAAACGGGATAAACTTCCCAGAACTACAGGGAAGCATTCTGAGAAACTTCTTTGTGATGTTTGCATTCAACTCACAGAGTTGAACCTTGCTTTCATAGTTCAGCTTTCAAACACTCTTTTTGTAGAATCTGCAAGTGGATATTTGGACCACTTTGTGGCCTTCCTTCGAAACGGGTATATCTTCACATCAAACCTAGACAGAAGCATTCTCAGAATGTTTCCTGTGATGACTGCATTCAACTCACAGAGGTGAACAATCCTGTTGATGGAGCAGTTTTGAAACTCTCTTTCTTTGGATTCTGCAAGTTGATATGTGGACCACTGTGAAGATTTCGTTGGAAACGGGTTCATCTTCACAGAAAAACTAAACAGAAGCATTCTCAGAAACTGCTTTGTGATGTTTGTGTTCCACTTCAGGAATTGAACTTTCCTCTTGACAGAGCAGCTCTGAAACCCTCTTATTCTAGAATCTGCAAGTGGACATTTGGAGGGCTTTGAGGCCTGTGGTGGAAAAGGAAAATCTTCACATAAAAACTAGATGGAAGCATTCTCAGAAACTACTTTGTGATGATTGCATTCGACTCACAGAGTTGAACATTCCTATACATAGAGCAGGTTGTAAACAATCTTTTTGTAGAATCTGCGATTGGAGATTTGGACTGCTTTGAGGCCTACTGTAGTAAAGGAAATAACTTCATCTAAAAACCAAACGGAAGCATTCACAGACAATTCTTAGTGATCATTGCATTGAACTAACAGAGCTGAACATTCCTTTAGATGGAGCAGTTTCCAAACCCACTTTCTGTAGAATCTGCAAGTGGATATTTGGACTTCTCTGAGGATTTCGTTGGAAACGGGATAAACTTCCCAGAACTACACGGAAGCATTCTGAGAAACTTCTTTGTGATGTTTGCATTCAACTCACAGAGTTGAACCTTGCTTTCATAGTTCAGCTTTCAAACACTCTTTTTGTAGAATCTGCAAGTGGATATTTGGACCACTTTGTGGCCTTCCTTCGAAACGGGTATATCTTCACATCAAACCTAGACAGAAGCATTCTCAGAATGTTTCCTGTGATGACTGCATTCAACTCACAGAGGTGAACAATCCTGCTGATGGAGCAGTTTTGAAACTCTCTTTCTTTGGATTCTGCAAGTGGATATGTGGACCTCTGTGAAGATTTCGTTGGAAACGGGTTCATCTTCACAGAAAAACTAAACAGAAGCATTCTCAGAAACTGCTTTGTGATGTTTGTGTTCCACTTCAGGAATTGAACTTTCCTCTTGACAGAGCAGCTCTAAAACCCTCTTATTCTAGAATCTGCAAGTGGACATTTGGAGGGCTTTGAGGCCTGTGGTGGAAAAGGAAAATCTTCACATAAAAACTAGATGGAAGCATTCTCAGAAACTACTTTGTGATGATTGCATTCGACTCACAGAGTTGAACATTCCTATACATAGAGCAGGTTGTAAACAATCTTTTTGTAGAATCTGCGATTGGAGATTTGGACTGCTTTGAGGCCTACTGTAGTAAAGGAAATAACTTCATCTAAAAACCAAACGGAAGCATTCACAGACAATTCTTAGTGATCATTGCATTGAACTAACAGAGCTGAACATTCCTTTAGATGGCGCAGTTTCCAAACACACTTTCTGTAGAATCTGCAAGTGGATATTTGGACTTCTCTGAGGATTTCGTTGGAAACGGGATAAACTTCCCAGAACTACACGGAAGCATTCTGAGAAACTTCTTTGTGATGTTTGCATTCAACTCACAGAGTTGAACCTTGCTTTCATAGTTCAGCTTTCAAACACTCTTTTTGTAGAATCTGCAAGTGGATATTTGGACCACTTTGTGGCCTTCCTTCGAAACGGGTATATCTTCACATCAAACCTAGACAGAAGCATTCTCAGAATGTTTCCTGTGACGACTGCATTCAACTCACAGAGGTGAACAATCCTGTTGATGGAGCAGTTTTGAAACTCCCTTTCTTTGGATTCTGCAAGTGGATATGTGGACCTCTGTGAAGATTTCGTTGGAAACGGGTTCATCTTCACAGAAAAACTAAACAGGAGCATTCTCAGAAACTGCTTTGTGATGTTTGTGTTCCACTTCAGGAATTGAACTTTCCTCTTGACAGAGCAGCTCTGAAACCCTCTTTTTCTAGAATCTGCAAGTGGACATTTGGAGGGCTTTGAGGCCTGTGGTGGAAAAGGAAAATCTTCACATAAAAACTAGATGGAAGCATTCTCAGAAACTACTTTGTGATGATTGCATTCGACTCACAGAGTTGAACATTCCTATAGATAGAGCAGGTTGTAAACAATCTTTTTGTAGAATCTGCGATTGGAGATTTGGACTGCTTTGAGGCCTACTGTAGTAAAGGAAATAACTTCATCTAAAAACCAAACGGAAGCATTCACAGACAATTCTTAGTGATCATTGGATTGAACTAACAGAGCTGAACATTCCTTTAGATGGAGCAGTTTCCAAACCCACTTTCTGTAGAATCTGCAAGTGGATATTTGGACTTCTCTGAGGATTTCGTTGGAAACGGGATAAACTTCCCAGAACTACACTGAAGCATTGTGAGAAAATTCTTTGTGAAGTTTGCATTCAACTCACAGAGTTGAACCTTGGTTTCATAGTTCAGCTTTCAAACACTCTTTTTGTAGAATCTGCAAGTGGATATTTGGACCACTTTGTGGCCTTCCTTCGAAACGGGTATATCTTCACATCAAACCTAGACAGAAGCATTCTCAGAATGTTTCCTGTGATGACTGCATTCAACTCACAGAGGTGAACAATCCTGCTGATGGAGCAGTTTTGAAACTCTCTTTCTTTGGATTCTGCAAGTGGATATGTGGACCTCTGTGAAGATTTCGTTGGAAACGGGTTCATCTTCACAGAAAAACTAAACAGGAGCATTCTCAGAAACTGCTTTGTGATGTTTGTGTTACACTTCAAGAATTGAACTTTCCTCTTGACAGAGCAGCTCTGAAACCCTCTTTTTCTAGAATCTGCAAGTGGACATTTGGAGGGCTTTGAGGCCTGTGGTGGAAAAGGAAAATCTTCACATAATAACTAGATGGAAGCATTCTCAGAAACTACTTTGGGATGATTGCATTCGACTCACGGAGTTGAACATTCCTATAGATAGAGCAGGTTGTAAACAATCTTTTTGTAGAATCTGCGATTGGAGATTTGGACTGCTTTGAGGCCTACTGTAGTAAAGGAAATAACTTCATCTAAAAACCAAACGGAAGCATTCACAGACAATTCTTAGTGATCATTGGATTGAACTAACAGAGCTGAACATTCCTTTAGATGCAGCAGTTTCCAAACCCACTTTCTGTAGAATCTGCAAGTGGATATTTGGACCTCTCTGAGGATTTCTTTGGAAACGGGATAAACTTCCCAGAACTACACGGAAGCATTCTGAGAAACTTCTTTGTGATGTTTGAATTCAACTCACAGAGTTGAACCTTGCTTTCATAGTTCAGCTTTCAAACACTCTTTTTGTAGAATCTGCAAGTGGATATTTGGACCACTTTGTGGCCTTCCTTCGAAAGGGGTATATCTTCACATCAAACCTAGACAGAAGCATTCTCAGAATGTTTCCTGTGATGACTGCATTCAACTCACAGAGGTGAACAATCCTGCTGATGGAGCAGTTTTGAAACTCTCTTTCTTTGGATTCTGCAAGTGGATATGTGGACCTCTGTGAAGATTTCGTTGGAAACGGGTTCATCTTCACAGAAAAACTAAACAGAAGCATTCTCAGAAACTGCTTTGTGATGTTTGTGTTCCACTTCAGGAATTGAACTTTCCTCTTGACAGAGCAGCTCTGAAATCCTCTTATTCTAGAATCTGCAAGTGGACATTTGGAGGGCTTTGAGGCCTGTGGTGGAAAAGGAAAATCTTCACATAAAAACTAGATGGAAGCATTCTCAGAAACTCCTTTGTGATGATTGCATTCGACTCACAGAGTTGAACATTCCTATAGATAGAGCAGGTTGTAAACAATCTTTTTGTAGAATCTGCGATTGGAGATTTGGACTGCTTTGAGGCCTACTGTAGTAAAGGAAATAACTTCATCTAAAAAACAAACGGAAGCATTCACAGACAATTCTTAGTGATCATTGCATTGAACTAACAGAGCTGAACATTCCTTTAGATGGCGCAGTTTCCAAACACACTTTCTGTAGAATCTGCAAGTGGATATTTGGACCTCTCTGAGGATTTCGTTGGAAACGGGATAAACTTCCCAGAACTACACGGAAGCATTCTGAGAAACTTCTTTGTGATGTTTGCATTCAACTCACAGAGTTGAACCTTGCTTTCATAGTTCAGCTTTCAAACACTCTTTTTGTAGAATCTGCAAGTGGATATTTGGACCACTTTGTGGCCTTCCTTCGAAACGGGTATATCTTCACATCAAACCTAGACAGAAGCATTCTCAGAATGTTTCCTGTGATGACTGCATTCAACTCACAGAGGTGAACAATCCTGTTGATGGAGCAGTTTTGAAACTCTCTTTCTTTGGATTCTGCAAGTTGATATGTGGACCTCTGTGAAGATTTCGTTGGAAACGGGTTCATCTTCACAGAAAAACTAAACAGAAGCATTCTCAGAAACTGCTTTGTGATGTTTGTGTTCCACTTCAAGAATTGAACTTTCCTCTTGATAGAGCAGCTCTGAAACCCTCTTTTTCTAGAATCTGCAAGTGGACATTTGGAGGCCTTTGAGGCCTGTGGTGGAAAAGGAAAATCTTCCCATAAAAACTAGATGGAAGCATTCTCAGAAACTACTTTGTGATGATTGCATTCGACTCACAGAGTTGAACATTCCTATAGATAGAGCAGGTTGTAAACAATCTTTTTGTAGAATCTGCGATTGGAGATTTGGACTGCTTTGAGGCCTACTGTAGTAAAGGAAATAACTTCATCTAAAAACCAAACGGAAGCATTCACAGACAATTCTTAGTGATCATTGGATTGAACTAACAGAGCTGAACATTCCCTTAGATAGCGCAGTTTCCAAACACACTTTCTGTAGAATCTGCAAGTGGATATTTGGACCTCTCTGAGGATTTTGTTGGAAACAGGATAAAGTTCCCAGAACTACACGGAAGTATTCTGAGAAACTTCTTTGTGATGTTTGCATTCAACTCACAGAGTTGAACCTTGCTTTCATAGTTCAGCTTTCAAACACTCTTTTTGTAGAATCTGCAAGTGGATATTTGGACCACTTTGTGGCCTTCCTTCGAAACGGGTATATCTTCACATCAAACCTAGACAGAAGCATTCTCAGAATGTTTCCTGTGATGACTGCATTCAACTCACAGAGGTGAACAATCCTGCTGATGGAGCAGTTTTGAAACTCTCTTTCTTTGGATTCTGCAAGTGGATATGTGGACCTCTGTGAAGATTTCGTTGGAAACGGGTTCATCTTCACAGAAAAACTAAACAGAAGCATTCTCAGAAACTGCCTTGTGATGTTTGTGTTCCACTTCAGGAATTGTATTTTCCTCTTGACAGAGCAGCTCTGAAACCCTCTTATTCTAGAATCTGCAAGTGGACATTTGGAGGGCTTTGAGGCCTGTGGTGGAAAAGGAAAATCTTCACATAAAAACTAGATGGAAGCATTCTCAGAAACTACTTTGTGATGATTGCATTCGACTCACAGAGTTGAACATTCCTATAGATAGAGTAGGTTGTAAACAATCTTTTTGTAGAATCTGCGATTGGAGATTTGGACTGCTTTGAGGCCTACTGTAGTAAAGGAAATAACTTTATCTAAAAACCAAACGGAAGCATTCACAGACAATTCTTAGTGATCATTGCATTGAACTAACAGAGCTGAACATTCCTTTAGATGGAGCAGTTTCCAAACACACTTTCTGTAGAATCTGAAAGTGGATATTTGGACTTCTCTGAGGATTTCGTTGGAAACGGGATAAACTTCTCAGAACTACACGGAAGCATTGTGAGAAACTTCTTTGTGATGTTTGCATTCAACTCACAGAGTTGAAACTTGCTTTCATAGTTCAGCTTTCAAACACTCTTTTTGTAGAATCTGCAAGTGTATATTTGGACCACTTTGTGGCCTTCCTTCGAAACGTGTATATCTTCACATCAAACCTAGACAGAAGCATTCTCAGAATGTTTCCTGTGATGACTGCATTCAACTCACAGAGGTGAACAATCCTGTTGATGGAGCAGTTTTGAAACTCTCTTTCTTTGGATTCTGCAAGTGGATATGTGGACCTCTGTGAAGATTTCGTTGGAAACGGGTTCATCTTCACAGAAAAACTAAACAGAAGCATTCTCAGAAACTGCTTTGTGATGTTTGTGTTCCACTTCAGGAATTGAACTTTCCTCTTGACAGAGCAGCTCTGAAACCCTCTTTTTCTAGAATCTGCAAGTGGACATTTGGAGGGCTTTGAGGCCTGTGGTGGAAAAGGAAAATCTTCACATAAAAACTAGATGGAAGCATTCTCAGAAACTACTTTGTGATGATTGCATTCGACTCACAGAGTTGAACATTCCTATAGATAGAGCAGGTTGTAAACAATCTTTTTGTAGAATCTGCGATTGGAGATTTGGACTGCTTTGAGGCCTACTGTAGTAAAGGAAATAACTTCATCTAAAAACCAAACGGAAGCATTCACAGACAATTCTTAGTGATCATTGGATTGAACTAACAGAGCTGAACATTCCTTTAGATGGAGCAGTTTCCAAACACACTTTCTGTAGAATCTGCAAGTGGATATTTGGACCTCTCTGAGGATTTCGTTGGAAACGGGATAAACTTCCCAGAACTACACGGAAGCATTCTGAGAATCTTCTTTGGATGTTTGCATTCAACACACAGAGTTGAACCTTGCTTTCATAGTTCAGCTTTCAAACACTCTTTTTGTAGAATCTGCAAGTGGATATTTGGACCACTTTGTGGCCTTCCTTCGAAACGGGTATATCTTCACATCAAACCTAGACAGAAGCATTCTCAGGATGTTTCCTGTGATGACTGCATTCAACTCACAGAGGTGAACAATCCTTCTGATAGAGCAGTTTTGAAACTCTCTTTCTTTGGATTCTGCAAGTGGATATGTGGACCTCTGTGAAGATTTCGTTGGAAACGGGTTCATCTTCACAGAAAAACTAAACAGAAGCATTCTCAGAAACTGCTTTGTGATGTTTTTGTTCCACTTCAGGAATTGAACTTTCCTCTTGACAGAGCAGCTCTGAAGCCCTCTTATTCTAGAATCTGCAAGTGGACATTTGGAGGGCTTTGAGGCCTGTGGTTGAAAAGGATAATCTTCACATAAAAGCTAGATGGAAGCATTCTCAGAAACTACTTTGTGATGATTGCATTCGACTCACAGAGTTGAACATTCCTATAGATAGAGCAGGTTGTAAACAATCTTTTTGTAGAATCTGCGATTGGAGATTTGGACTGCTTTGAGGCCTACTGTAGTAAAGGAAATAACTTCATCTAAAAACCAAACGGAAGCATTCACAGACAATTCTTAGTGATTATTGGATTGAACTAACAGAGCTGAACATTCCTTTAGATGGCACAGTTTCCAAACACACTTTCTGTAGAATCTGCAAGTGGATATTTTGACCTCTCTGAGGATTTCGTTGGAAACGGGATAAACTTCCCAGAACTACACGGAAGCATTCTGAGAAACTTCTTTGTGATGTTTGCATTCAACTCACAGAGTTGAACCTTGTTTTCATAGTTCAGCTTTCAAACACTCTTTTTGTAGAATCTGCAAGTGGATATTTGGACCACTTTGTGGCCTTCGTTCGAAACGGGTATATACTTCACATCAAACCTAGACAGAAGCATTCTCAGAATGTTTCCTGTGATGACTGCATTCAACTCACAGAGGTGAACAATCCTGCTGATGGAGCAGTTTTGAAACTCTCTTTCTTTGGATTCTGCAAGTGGATATGTGGACCTCTGTGAAGGTTTCGTTGGAAACGGGTTCATCTTCACAGAAAAACTAAACAGAAGCATTCTCAGAAACTACTTTGTGATGTTTGTGTTCCACTTCAAGAATTGAACTTTCCTCTTGACAGAGCAGCTCTGAAACCCTCTTTTTCTAGAATCTGCAAGTGGACATTTGGAGGGCTTTGAGGCCTGTGGTGGAAAAGGAAAATCTTCACATAAAAACTAGATGGAAGCATTCTCAGAAACTACTTTGTGATGATTGCATTCGACTCACAGAGTTGAACATTCCTATACATAGAGCAGGTTGTAAACAATCTTTTTGTAGAATCTGCGATTGGAGATTTGGACTGCTTTGAGGCCTACTGTAGTAAAGGAAATAACTTCATCTAAAAACCAAACGGAAGCATTCACAGACAATTCTTAGTGATCATTGCATTGATCTAACAGAGCTGAACATTCCTTTAGATGGCGTAGTTTCCAAACACACTTTCTGTAGAATCTGCAAGTGGATATTTGGACCTCTCTGAGGATTTCGTTGGAAACGGGATAAACTTCCCAGAACTACACGGAAGCATTCTGAGAAACTTCTTTGTGATGTTTGCATTCAACTCACAGAGTTGAACCTTGCTTTCATAGTTCAGCTTTCAAACACTCTTTTTGTAGAATCTGCAAGTGGATATTTGGACCACTTTGTGGCCTTCCTTCGAAAAGGGTATATCTTCACATCAAACCTAGACAGAAGCATTCTCAGAATGTTTCCTGTGATGACTGCATTCAACTCACAGAGGTGAACAATCCTGCTGATGGAGCAGTTTTGAAACTCTCTTTCTTTGGATTCTGCAAGTGGATATGTGGACCTCTGTGAAGATTTCGTTGGAAACGGGTTCATCTTCACAGAAAAACTAAACAGGAGCATTATCAGAAACTGCTTTGTGATGTTTGTGTTCCACTTCAAGAATTGAACTTTCCTCCTGACAGAGCAGCTGTGAAACCCTCTTTTTCTACAATTTGCAAGTGGACATTTGGAGGGCTTTGAGGCCTGTGGTGGAAAAGGAAAATCTTCACATAAAAACTAGATGGAAGCATTCTCAGAAACTACTTTGTGATGATTGCATTCGACTCACAGAGTTGAACATTCCTATAGATAGAGCAGGTTGTAAACAATCTTTTTGTAGAATCTGCGATTGGAGATTTGGACTGCTTTGAGGCCTACTGTAGTAAAGGAAATAACTTCATCTAAAAACCAAACGGAAGCATTCACAGACAATTCTTAGTGATCATTGGATTGAACTAACAGAGCTGAACATTCCTTTAGATAGAGCAGTTTCCAAACACACTTTCTGTAGAATCTGCAAGTGGATATTTGGACTTCTCTGAGGATTTCTTTGGAAATGGAAAAAACTTCCCAGAACTACACGGAAGCATTCTGAGAAACTTCTTTGTGATGTTTGCATTCAACTCACAGAGTTGAACCTTGCTTTCATAGTTCAGCTTTCAAACACTCTTTTTGTAGAATCTGCAAGTGGATATTTGGACCACTTTGTGGCCTTCCTTCGAAACGGGTATATCTTCACATCAAACCTAGACAGAAGCATTCTCAGAATGTTTCCTGTGATGACTGCATTCAACTCACAGAGGTGAACAATCCTGCTGATGGAGCAGTTTTGAAACTCTCTTTCTTTGGATTCTGCAAGTGGATATGTGGACCTCTGTGAAGATTTCGTTGGAAACGGGTTCATCTTCACAGAAAAACTAAACAGGAGCATTCTCAGAAACTGCTTTGTGATGTTTGTGTTCCACTTCAAGAATTGAACTTTCCTCTTGACAGAGCAGCTCTGAAACCCTCTTTTTCTAGAATCTGCAAGTGGATATTTGGAGGGCTTTGAGGCCTGTGGTGGAAAAGGAAAATCTTCACATAAAAACTTTATGGAAGCATTCTCAGAAACTTCTTTGTGATGATTGCATTCGATTCACAGAGTTGAACACTCCTATAGATAGAGCAGGTTGTAAACAATCTTTTTGTAGAATCTGCGATTGGAGTTTTGGACTGCTTTGAGGCCTACTGTAGTAAAGGAAATAACTTCATCTAAAAACCAAACGGAAGCATTCACAGACAATTCTTAGTGATCATTGCATTGAACTAACAGAGCTGAACATTCCTTTAGATGGAGCAGTTTCCAAACCCACTTTCTGTAGAATCTGCAAGTGGATATTTGGACTTCTCTGAGGATTTCGTTGGAAACGGGATAAACTTCCCAGAACTACACGGAAGCATTCTGAGAAACTTCTTTGTGATGTTTGCATTCAACTCACAGAGTTGAACCTTGCTTTCATAGTTCAGCTTTCAAACACTCTTTTTGTAGAATCTGCAAGTGGATATTTGGACCACTTTGTGGCCTTCCTTCGAAACGGGTATATCTTCACATCAAACCTAGACAGAAGCATTCTCAGAATGTTTCCTGTGATGACTGCATTCAACTCACAGAGGTGAACAATCCTGCTGATGGAGCAGTTTTGAAACTCTCTTTCTTTGGATTTTGCAAGTGGATATGTGGACCTCTGTGAAGATTTCGTTGGAAACGGGTTCATCTTCACAGAAAAACTAAACAGAAGCATTCTCAGAAACTGCTTTGTGATGTTTGTGTTCCACTTCAGGAATTGAACTTTCCTCTTGACAGAGCAGCTCTGAAACCCTCTTTTTCTAGAATCTGCAAGTGGACATTTGGAGGGCTTTGAGGCCTGTGGTGGAAAAGGAAAATCTTCACATAAAAACTAGATTGAAGCATTCTCAGAAACTACTTTGTGATGATTGCATTCGACTCACGGAGTTGAACATTCCTATAGATAGAGCAGGTTGTAAACAATCTTTTTGTAGAATCTGCGATTGGAGATTTGGACTGCTTTGAGGCCTACTGTAGTAAAGGAAATAACTTCATCTAAAAACCAAACGGAAGCATTCACAGACAATTCTTAGTGATCATTGCATTGATCTAACAGAGCTGAACATTCCTTTAGATGGCGTAGTTTCCAAACACACTTTCTGTAAAATCTGCAAGTGGATATTTGGACCTCTCTGAGGATTTCGTTGGAAACGGGATAAACTTCCCAGAACTACACGGAAGCATTCTGAGAAACTTCTTTGTGATGTTTGCATTCAACTCACAGAGTTGAACCTTGCTTTCATAGTTCAGCTTTCAAACACTCTTTTTGTAGAATCTGCAAGTGGATATTTGGACCACTTTGTGGCCTTCCTTCGAAACGGGTATATCTTCACATCAAACCTAGACAGAAGCATTCTCAGAATGTTTCTTGTGATGACTGCATTCAACTCACAGAGGTGAACAATCCTGTTGATGGAGCAGTTTTGAAACTCTCTTTCTTTGGATTCTGCAAGTGGATATGTGGACCTCTGTGAAGATTTCGTTGGAAACGGGTTCATCTTCACAGAAAAACTAAACAGAAGCATTCTCAGAAACTGCTTTGTGATGTTTGTGTTCCACTTCAGGAATTGAACTTTCCTCTTGACAGAGCAGCTCTGAAACCCTCTTTTTCTAGAATCTGCAAGTGGACATTTGGAGGGCTTTGAGGCCTGTGGTGGAAAAGGAAAATCTTCACATAAAAACTAGATGGAAGCATTCTCAGAAACTACTTTGTGATGATTGCATTCGACTCACAGAGTTGAACATTCCTATAGATAGAGCAGGTTGTAAACAATCTTTTTGTAGAATCTGCGATTGGAGATTTGGACTGCTTTGAGGCCTACTGTAGTAAAGGAAATAACTTCATCTAAAAACCAAACGGAAGCATTCACAGACAATTCTTAGTGATCATTGCATTGAACTAACAGAGCTGAACATTGCTTTAGATGGCGCAGTTTCCAAACACACTTTCTGTAGAATCTGCAAGTGGATATTTGGACCACTCTGAGGATTTCGTTGGAAACGGCATAAACTTCCCAGAACTACACGGAAGCATGCTGAGAAACTTCTTTCTGATGTTTGCATTCAACTCACAGAGTTGAACCTTGCTTTCATAGTTCAGCTTTCAAACACTCTTTTTGTAGAATCTCCAATGGATATTTGGACCACTTTGTGGCCTTCCTTCGAAACGGTTATATCTTCACATCAAACCTGGACAGAAGCATTCTCGGAATGTTTCCTGTGATGACTGCATTCAACTCACAGAGGTGAACAATCCTGCTGATGGAGCAGTTTTGAAACTCTCTTTCTTTGGATTCTGCAGGTGGATATGTGGACCTCTGTGAAGATTTCGTTGGAAACAGGTTCATCTTCACAGAAAAACTAAACAGGAGCATTCTCAGAAACTGCTTTGTGATGTTTGTGTTCCACTTCAAGAATTGAACTTTCCTCTTGACAGAGCAGCTCTGAAACCCTCTTTTTCTAGAATCTGCAAGTGGACATTTGGAGGGCTTTGAGGCCTGTGGTGGAAAAGGAAAATCTTCACATAAAAACTAGATGGAAGCATTCTCAGAAACTACTTTGTGATGATTGCATTCGACTCACAGAGTTGAACATTCCTATAGATAGAGCAGGTTGAAAACAATCTTTTTGTAGAATCTGCGATTGGAGATTTGGACTGCTTTGAGGCCTACTGTAGTAAAGGAAATAACTTCATCTAAAAACCAAACGGAAGCATTCACAGACAATTCTTAGTGATCATTGGATTGAACTAACAGAGCTGAACATTCCTTTAGATGGCGCAGTTTCCAAACACACTTTCTGTAGAATCTGCAAGTGGATATTTGGACTTCTCTGAGGATTTCGTTGGATACGGGATAAACTTCCCAGAACTACACGGAAGCATTCTGAGAAACTTCTTTGTGATGTTTTCATTCAACTCACAGAGTTGAACCTTGCTTTCATAGTTCAGCTTTCAAACACTCTTTTTGTAGAATCTGCAAGTGGATATTTGGACCACTTTGTGGCCTTCCTTCGAAACGGGTATATCTTCACATCAAACCTAGACAGAAGCATTCTCAGAATGTTTCCTGTGATGACTGCATTCAACTCACAGACTTGAACAATCCTGTTGATGGAGCAGTTTTGAAACTCTCTTTCTTTGGATTCTGCAAGTGGATATGTGGACCTCTGTGAAGATTTCGTTGGAAACGGGTTCATCTTCACAGAAAAACTAAACAGAAGCATTCTCAGAAACTGCTTTGTGATGTTTGTGTTCCACTTCAGGAATTGAACTTTCCTCTTGACAGAGCAGCTCTGAAACCCTCTTTTTCTAGAATCTGCAAGTGGACATTTGGAGGGCTTTGAGGCCTGTGGTGGAAAAGGAAAATCTTCACATAAAAACTAGATGGAAGCATTCTCAGAAACTACTTTGTGATGATTGCATTCGACTCACAGAGTTGAACATTCCTATAGATAGAGCAGGTTGAAAACAATCTTTTTGTAGAATCTGCGATTGGAGATTTGGACTGCTTTGAGGCCTACTGTAGTAAAGGAAATAACTTCATCTAAAAACCAAACGGAAGCATTCACAGACAATTCTTAGTGATCATTGGATTGAACTAACAGAGCTGAACATTCCTTTAGATGGAGCCGTTTCCAAACACACTTTCTGTAGAATCTGCAAGTGGATATTTGGACCTCTCTGAGGATTTCGTTGGAAACGGGATAAACTTCCCAGAACTACACGGAAGCATTCTGAGAAACTTCTTTGTGATGTTTGCATTCAACTCACAGAGTTGAACCTTGCTTTCATAGTTCAGCTTTCAAACACTCTTTTTGTAGAATCTGCAAGTGGATATTTGGACCACTTTGTGGCCTTCCTTCGAAACGGGTATATCTTCACATCAAACCTAGACAGAAGCATTCTCAGAATGTTTCCTGTGATGACTGCATTCAACTCACAGAGGTGAACAATCCTGCTGATGGAGCAGTTTTGAAACTCTCTTTCTTTGGATTCTGCAAGTGGATATGTGGACCTCTGTGAAGATTTCGTTGGAAACGGGTTCATCTTCACAGAAAAACTAAACAGGAGCATTCTCAGAAACTGCTTTGTGATGTTTGTGTTCCACTTCAAGAATTGAACTTTCCTCTTGACAGAGCAGCTCTGAAACCCTCTTTTTCTAGAATCTGCAAGTGGACATTTGGAGGGCTTTGAGGCCTGTGGTGGAAAAGGAAAATCTTCACATAAAAACTAGATGGAAGCATTCTCAGAAACTACTTTGTGATGATTGCATTCGACTCACAGAGTTGAACATTCCTATAGATAGAGCAGGTTGTAAACAATCTTTTTGTAGAGTCTGCGATTGGAGATTTGGACTGCTTTGAGGCCTACTGTAGTAAAGGAAATAACTTCATCTAAAAACCAAACAGAAGCATTCACAGCACAATTCTTAGTGATCATTGGATTGAACTAACAGAGCTGAACATTCCTTTAGATGGAGCAGTTTCCAAACCCACTTTCTGTAGAATCTGCAAGTGGATATTTGGACTTCTCTGAGGATTTCGTTGGAAACGGGATAAACTTCCCAGAACTACACGGAAGCATTCTGAGAAACTTATTTGTGATGTTTGCATTCAACTCACAGAGTTGAACCTTGCTTTCATAGTTCAGCTTTCAAACACTCTTTTTGTAGAATCTGCAAGTGGATATTTGGACCACTTTGTGGCCTTCCTTCGAAACGGGTATATCTTCACATCAAACCTAGACAGAAGCATTCTCAGAATGTTTCCTGTGATGACTGCATTCAACTCACAGAGGTGAACAATCCTGCTGACGGAGCAGTTTTGAAACTCTCTTTCTTTGGATTCTGCAAGTGGATATGTGGACCTCTGTGAAGATTTCGTTGGAAACGTGTTTATCTTCACAGAAAAACTAAACAGGAGCATTCTCAGAAACTGCTTTGTGATGTTTGTGTTCCACTTCAAGAATTGAACTTTCCTCTTGACAGAGCAGCTCTGAAACCCTCTTTTTCTAGAATCTGCAAGTGGACATTTGGAGGGCTTTGAGGCCTGTGTGGAAAAGGAAAATCTTCACATAAAAACTAGATGGAAGCATTCTCAGAAACTACTTTGTGATGATTGCATTCGACTCACAGAGTTGAACATTCCTATAGATAGAGCAGGTTGTAAACAATCTTTTTGTAGAATCTGCGATTGGAGATTTGGACTGCTTTGAGGCCTACTGTAGTAAAGGAAATAACTTCATCTAAAAACCAAACGGAAGCATTCACAGACAATTCTTAGTGATCATTGGATTGAACTAACAGAGCTGAACATTCCTTTAGATGGAGCAGTTTCCAAACACACTTTCTGTAGAATCTGCAAGTGGATATTTGGACTTCTCTAAGGATTTCGTTGGAAACGGTATAAACTTCCCAGAACTACACGGAAGCATTGTGAGAAATTTCTTTGTGATGTTTGCATTCAACTCACAGAGTTGAACCTTGCTTTCATAGTTCAGCTTTCAAACACTCTTTTTGTAGAATCTGCAAGTGGATATTTGGACCACTTTGTGGCCTTCCTTCGAAACGGGTATATCTTCACATCAAACCTAGACAGAAGCATTCTCAGAATGTTTCCTGTGATGACTGCATTCAACTCACAGAGGTGAACAATCCTGCTGATGGAGCAGTTTTGAAACTCTCTTTCTTTGGATTCTGCAAGTGGATATGTGGACCTCTGTGAAGATTTCGTTGGAAACGGGTTCATCTTCACAGAAAAACTAAACAGAAGCATTCTCAGAAACTGCTTTGTGATGTTTGTGTTCCACTACAAGAATTGAACTTTCCTCTTGACAGAGCAGCTCTGAAACCCTCTTTTTCTAGAATCTGCAAGTGGACATTTGGAGGGCTTTGAGGCCTGTGGTGGAAAAGGAAAATCTTCACGTAAAAACTTTATGGAAGCATTCTCAGAAACTACCTTGTGATGATTGCATTCGACTCACAGAGTTGAACATTCCTATAGATAGAGCAGGTTGTAAACAATCTTTTTGTAGAATCTGCGATTGGAGATTTGGACTGCTTTGAGCCCTACTGTAGTAAAGGAAATAACTTCATCTAAAAACCAAACGGAAGCATTCACAGACAATTCTTAGTGATCATTGGATTGAACTAACAGAGCTGAACATTCCTTTAGATGGAGCAGTTTCCAAACCCACTTTCTGTAGAATCTGCAAGTGGATATTTGGACCTCTCTGAGGATTTCGTTGGAAACGGGATAAACTTCCCAGAACTACACGGAAGTATTCTGAGAAACTTCTTTGTGATGTTTGCATTCAACTCACAGAGTTGAACCTTGCTTTCATAGTTCAGCTTTCAAACACTCTTTTTGTAGAATCTGCAAGTGGATATTTGGACCACTTTGTGGCCTTCCTTCGAAACGGGTATATCTTCACATCAAACCTAGACAGAAGCATTCTCAGAATGTTTCCTGTGATGACTGCATTCAACTCACAAATGTGAACAATCCTGCTGATGGAGCAGTTTTGAAACTCTCTTTCTTTGGATTCTGCAAGTGGATATGTGGACCTCTGTGAATATTTCGTTGGAAACGGGTTCATCTTCACAGAAAAAGTAAACAGGAGCATTCTCAGAAACTGCTTTGTGATGTTTGTGTTCCACTTCAGGAATTGAACTTTCCTCTTGACAGAGCAGCTCTGAAACCCTCTTATTCTAGAATCTGCAAGTGGACATTTGGAGGGCTTTGAGGCCTGTGGTGGAAAAGGAAAATCTTCACATAAAAACTAGATGGAAGCATTCTCAGAAACTACTTTGTGATGATTGCATTCGACTCACAGAGTTGAACATTCCTATAGATAGAGCAGGTTGTAAACAATCTTTTTGTGGAATCTGCGATTGGAGATTTGGACTGCTTTGAGGCCTACTGTAGTAAAGGAAATAACTTCATCTAAAAACCAAACGGAAGCATTCACAGACAATTCTTAGTGATCATTGGATTGAACTAACAGAGCTGAACATTCCTTTAGATGGAGCAGTTTCCAAACACACTTTCTGTAGAATCTGAAAGTGGATATTTGGACTTCTCTGAGGATTTCGTTGGAAACGGGATAAACTTCCCAGAACTACACGGAAGCATTCTGAGAAACTTCTTTGTGATGTTTGCATTCAACTCACAGAGTTGAACCTTGCTTTCATAGTTCAGCTTTCAAACACTCTTTTTGTAGAATCTGCAAGTGGATATTTGGACCACTTTGTGGCCTTCCTTCGAAACGGGTATATCTTCACATCAAACCTAGACAGAAGCATTCTCAGAATGTTTCCTGTGATGACTGCATTCAACTCACAGAGGTGAACAATCCTGCTGATGGAGCAGTTTTGAAACTGTCTTTCTTTGGATTCTGCAAGTGGATATGTGGACCTCTGTGAAGATTTCGTTGGAAACGGGTTCATCTTCACAGAAAAACTAAACAGGAGCATTCTCAGAAACTGCTTTGTGATGTTTGTGTTCCACTTCAAGAATTGAACTTTCCTCTTGACAGAGCAGCTCTGAAACCCTCTTTTTCTAGAATCTGTAAGTGGACATTTGGAGGGCTTTGAGGCCTGTGGTGGAAAAGGAAAATCTTCACATAAAAACTAGATGGAAGCATTCTCAGAAACTACTTTGTGATGATTGCATTCGACTCACAGAGTTGAACATTCCTATAGATAGAGCAGGTTGTAAACAATCTTTTTGTAGAATCTGCGATTGGAGATTTGGACTGCTTTGAGGCCTACTGTAGTAAAGGAAATAACTTCATCTAAAAACCAAACGGAAGCATTCACAGACAATTCTTAGTGATCATTGCATTGAACTAACAGAGCTGAACATTCCTTTAGATGGCGCAGTTTCCAAACACACTTTCTGTAGAATCTGCAAGTGGATATTTGGACCTCTCTGAGGATTTCGTTGGAAACGGGATAAACTTCCCAGAACTACACGGAAGCATTCTGAGAAACTTCTTTGTGATGTTTGCATTCAACTCACAGAGTTGAAACTTGCTTTCATAGTTCAGCTTTCAAACACTCTTGTTGTAGAATCTGCAAGTGGATATTTGGACCACTTTGTGGCCTTCCTTCGAAACGGGTATATCTTCACATCAAACCTAGACAGAAGCATTCTCAGAATGTTTCCTGTGATGACTGCATTCAACTCACAGAGGTGAACAATCCTGTTGATGGAGCACTTTTGAAACTCTCTTTCTTTGGATTCTGCAAGTTGATATGTGGACCTCTGTGAAGATTTCGTTGGAAACGGGTTCATCTTCACAGAAAAACTAAACAGAAGCATTCTCAGA
The DNA here is from genome assembly GCF_000001405.40 of Homo sapiens. Taxonomy (NCBI): domain Eukaryota; kingdom Metazoa; phylum Chordata; class Mammalia; order Primates; family Hominidae; genus Homo; species Homo sapiens. The sequence goes on from NC_000011.10 coordinate 51,689,810, forward strand.
AACTACTTTGTGATGTTTGTGTTCCACTTCAAGAATTGAACTTTCCTCTTGACAGAGCAGCTCTGAAACCCTCTTTTTCTAGAATCTGCAAGTGGACATTTGGAGGGCTTTGAGGCCTGTGGTGGAAAAGGAAAATCTTCACATAAAAACTAGATGGAAGCATTCTCAGAAACTACTTTGTGATGATTGCATTCGACTCACAGAGTTGAACATTCCTATAGATAGAGCAGGTTGTAAACAATCTTTTTGTAGAATCTGCGATTGGAGATTTGGACTGCTTTGAGGCCTACTGTAGTAAAGGAAATAACTTCATCTAAAAACCAAACGGAAGCATTCACAGACAATTCTTAGTGATCATTGCATTGAACTAACAGAGCTGAACATTGCTTTAGATGGCGCAGTTTCCAAACACACTTTCTGTAGAATCTGCAAGTGGATATTTGGACCTCTCTGAGGATTTCGTTGGAAACGGGATAAACTTCCCAGAACTACACGGAAGCATTCTGAGAAACTTCTTTGTGATGTTTGCATTCAACTCACAGAGTTGAACCTTTCTTTCATAGTTCAGCTTTCAAACACTCTTTTTGTAGACTCTGCAAGTGGATATTTGGACCACTTTGTGGCCTTCCTTCGAAACGGGTATATCTTCACATCAAACCTAGACAGAAGCATTCTCAGAATGTTTCCTGTGATGACTGCATTCAACTCACAGAGGTGAACAATCCTGCTGATGGAGCAGTTTTGAAACTCTCTTTCTTTGGATTCTGCAAGTGGATATGTGGACCTCTGTGAAGATTTCGTTGGAAACGGGTTCATCTTCACAGAAAAACTAAACAGAAGCATTCTCAGAAACTGCTTTGTGATGTTTGTGTTCCACTTCAGGAATTGAACTTTCCTCTTGACAGAGCAGCTCTGAAACCCTCTTATTCTAGAATCTGCAAGTGGACATTTGGAGGGCTTTGAGGCCTGTGGTGGAAAAGGAAAATCTTCACATAAAAACTAGATGGAAGCATTCTCAGAAACTACTTTGTGATGATTGCATTCGACTCACAGAGTTGAACATTGCTATAGATAGAGCAGGTTGTAAACAATCTTTTTGTAGAATCTGCGATTGGAGATTTGGACTGCTTTGAGGCCTACTGTAGTAAAGGAAATAACTTCATCTAAAAACCAAACGGAAGCATTCACAGACAATTCTTAGTGATCATTGGATTGAACTAACAGAGCTGAACATTCCTTTAGATGGAGCAGTTTCCAAACACACTTTCTGTAGAATCTGCAAGTGGATATTTGGACCTCTCTGAGGATTTCGTTGGAAACGGGATAAACTTCCCAGAACTACACGGAAGCATTCTGAGAAACTTCTTTGTGATGTTTGCATTCAACTCACAGAGTTGAACCTTGCTTTCACAGTTCAGCTTTCAAACACTCTTTTTGTAGAATCTGCAAGTGGATATTTGGACCACTTTGTGGCCTTCCTTCGAAACGGGTATATCTTCATATCAAACCTAGACAGAAGCATTCTCAGAATGTTTCCTGTGATGACTGCATTCAACTCACAGAGGTGAACAATCCTGCTGATGGAGCAGTTTTGAAACTCTCTTTCTTTGGATTCTGCAAGTGGATTTGTGGACCTCTGTGAAGATTTCGTTGGAAAAGGGTTCATCTTCACAGAGAAACTAAACAGGAGCATTCTCAGAAACTGCTTTGTGATGTTTGTGTTCCACTTCAAGAATTGAACTTTCCTCTTGACAGAGCAGCTCTGAAACCCTCTTTTTCTAGAATCTGCAAGTGGACATTTGGAGGGCTTTGAGGCCTGTGGTGGAAAAGGAAAATCTTCACATAAAAACTAGATGGAAGCATTCTCAGAAACTACTTTGTGATGATTGCATTCGACTCACAGAGTTGAACATTCCTATAGATAGAGCAGGTTGTAAACAATCTTTTTGTAGAATCTGCGATTGGAGATTTGGACTGCTTTGAGGCCTACTGTAGTAAAGGAAATAACTTCATCTAAAAACCAAACGGAAGCATTCACAGACAATTCTTAGTGATCATTGGATTGAACTAACAGAGCTGAACATTCCTTTAGATGGAGCAGTTTCCAAACACACTTTCTGTAGAATCTGCAAGTGGATATTTGGACTTCTCTGAGGATTTCGTTGGAAACGGGAAAAACTTCCCAGAACTACACGGAAGCATTGTGAGAAACTTCTTTGTGATGTTTGCATTCAACTCACAGAGTTGAACCTTGCTTTCATAGTTCAGCTTTCAAACACTCTTTTTGTAGAATCTGCAAGTGGATATTTGGACCACTTTGTGGCCTTCCTTCGAAACGGGTATATCTTCACATCAAACCTAGACAGAAGCATTCTCAGAATGTTTCCTGTGATGACTGCATTCAACTCACAGAGGTGAACAATCCTGCTGATGGAGCAGTTTTGAAACTCTCTTTCTTTGGATTCTGCAAGTGGATATGTGGACCTCTGTGAAGATTTCGTTGGAAACGGGTTCATCTTCACAGAAAAACTAAACAGAAGCATTCTCAGAAACTGCTTTGTGATGTTTGTGTTCCACTTCAAGAATTGAACTTTCCTCTCGACAGAGCAGCTCTGAAACCCTCTTATTCTAAAATCTGCAAGTGGACATTTGGAGGGCTTTGAGGCCTGTGGTGGAAAAGGAAAATCTTCACATAAAAACTAGATGGAAGCATTCTCAGAAACTACTTTGTGATGATTGCATTCGACTCACAGAGTTGAACATTCCTATAGATAGAGCAGGTTGTAAACAATCTTTTTGTAGAATCTGCGATTGGAGATTTGGACTGCTTTGAGGCCTACTGTAGTAAAGGAAATAACTTCATCTAAAAACCAAACGGAAGCATTCACAGACAATTCTTAGTGATCATTGGATTGAACTAACAGAGCTGAACATTCCTTTAGATGGAGCAGTTTCCAAACACACTTTCTGTAGAATCTGCAAGTGGATATTTGGACTTCTCTGAGGATTTCGTTGGAAACGGGATAAACTTCCCAGAACTACAGGGAAGCATTCTGAGAAACTTCTTTGTGATGTTTGCATTCAACTCACAGAGTTGAACCTTGCTTTCATAGTTCAGCTTTCAAACACTCTTTTTGTAGAATCTGCAAGTGGATATTTGGACCACTTTGTGGCCTTCCTTCGAAACGGGTATATCTTCACATCAAACCTAGACAGAAGCATTCTCAGAATGTTTCCTGTGATGACTGCATTCAACTCACAGAGGTGAACAATCCTGCTGATGGAGCAGTTTTGAAACTCTCTTTCTTTGGATTCTGCAAGTGGATATGTGGACCTCTGTGAAGATTTCGTTGGAAACGGGTTCATCTTCACAGAAAAACTAAACAGAAGCATTCTCAGAAACTGCTTTGTGATGTTTGTGTTCCACTTCAAGAATTGAACTTTCCTCTTGACAGAGCAGCTCTGAAACCCTCTTTTTCTAGAATCTGCAAGTGGACATTTGGAGGGCTTTGAGGCCTGTGGTGGAAAAGGAAAATCTTCCCATAAAAACTAGATGGAAGCATTCTCAGAAACTACTTTGTGATGATTGCATTCGACTCACAGAGTTGAACATTCCTATAGATAGAGCAGGTTGTAAACAATCTTTTTGTAGAATCTGCGATTGGAGATTTGGACTGCTTTGAGGCCTACTGTAGTAAAGGAAATAACTTCATCTAAAAACCAAACGGAAGCATTCACAGACAATTCTTAGTGATCATTGCATTGAACTAACAGAGCTGAACATTGCTTTAGACGGCGCAGTTTCCAAACACACTTTCTGTAGAATCTGCAAGTGGATATTTGGACTTCTCTGAGGATTTCGTTGGAAACGGGATAAACTTCCCAGAACTACACGGAAGCATGCTGAGAAACTTCTTTGTGATGTTTGCATTCAACTCACAGAGTTGAACCTTGCTTTCATAGTTCAGCTTTCAAACACTCTTTTTGTAGAATCTGCAAGTGGATATTTGGACCACTTTGTGGCCTTCCTTCGAAACGGGTATATCTTCACATCAAACCTAGACAGAAGCATTCTCAGAATGTTTCCTGTGATGACTGCATTCAACTCACAGAGGTGAACAATCCTGTTGATGGAGCACTTTTGAAACTCTCTTTCTTTGGATTCTGCAAGTTGATATGTGGACCTCTGTGAAGATTTCGTTGGAAACGGGTTCATCTTCAGAGAAAAACTAAACAGAAGCATTCTCAGAAACTGCTTTGTGATTTTTGTGTTCCACTTCAGGAATTGAACTTTCCTCTTGACAGAGCAGCTCTGAAACCCTCTTATTCTAGAATCTGCAAGTGGACATTTGGAGGGCTTTGAGGCCAGTGGTGGAAAAGGAAAATCTTCACATAAAAACTAGATGGAAGCATTCTCAGAAACTACTTTGTGATGATTGCATTCGACTCACAGAGTTGAACATTCCTATAGATAGAGCAGGTTGTAAACAATCTTTTTGTAGAATCTGCGATTGGAGATTTGGACTGCTTTGAGGCCTACTGTAGTAAAGGAAATAACTTCATGTAAAAACCAAACGGAAGCATTCACAGACAATTCTTAGTGATCATTGCATTGAACTAACAGAGCTGAACATTCCTTTAGATGGAGCAGTTTCCAAACACACTTTCTGTAGAATCTGCAAGTGGATATTTGGACTTCTCTGAGGATTTCGTTGGAAACGGGATAAACTTCCCAGAACTACACGGAAGCATGCTGAGAAACTTCTTTGTGATGTTTGCATTCAACTCACAGAGTTGAACCTTGCTTTCATAGTTCAGCTTTCAAACACTCTTTTTGTAGAATCTGCAAGTGGATATTTGGACCACTTTGTGGCCTTCCTTCGAAACGGGTATATCTTCACATCAAACCTAGACAGAAGCATTCTCAGAATGTTTCCTGTGATGACTGCATTCAACTCACAGAGGTGAAGAATCCTGTTGATGGAGCACTTTTGAAACTCTCTTTCTTTGGATTCTGCAAGTTGATATGTGGACCTCTATGAAGATTTCGTTGGAAACGTGTGCATCTTCACAGAAAAACTAAACAGAAGCATTCTCAGAAACTACTTTGTGATGTTTGTGTTCCACTTCAAGAATTGAACTTTCCTCTTGACAGAGCAGCTCTGAAACCCTCTTTTTCTAGAATCTGCAAGTGGACATTTGGAGGGCTTTGAGGCCTGTGGTGGAAAAGGAAAATCTTCACATAAAAACTAGATGGAAGCATTCTCAGAAACTACTTTGTGATGATTGCATTCAACTCACAGAGTTGAACATTCCTATAGATAGAGCAGGTTGTAAACAATGTTTTTTTAGAATCTGCGATTGGAGATTTGGACTGCTTTGAGGCCTACTGTAGTAAAGGAAATAACTTCATCTAAAAACCAAACGGAAGCATTCACAGACAATTCTTAGTGATCATTGGATTGAACTAACAGAGCTGAACATTCCTTTAGATGGAGCAGTTTCCAAACACACTTTCTGTAGAATCTGCAAGTGGATATTTGGACTTCTCTGAGGATTTCGTTGGAAACGGGATAAACTTCCCAGAACTACACGGAAGCATTGTGAGAAACTTCTTTGTGATGTTTGCATTCAACTCACAGAGTTGAACCTTGCTTTCATAGTTCAGCTTTCAAACACTCTTTTTGTAGAATCTGCAAGTGGATATTTGGACCACTTTGTGGCCTTCCTTCGAAACGGGTGTATCTTCACATCAAACCTAGACAGAAGCATTCTCAGAATGTTTCCTGTGATGACTGCATTCAACTCACAGAGGTGAACAATCCTGCTGATGGAGCAGTTTTGAAACTCTCTTTCTTTGGATTCTGCAAGTGGATATGTGGACCTCTGTGAAGATTTCGTTGGAAACGGGTTCATCTTCACAGAAAAACTAAACAGAAGCATTCTCAGAAACTGCTTTGTGATGTTTGTGTTCCACTTCAGGAATTCAACTTTCCTCTTGACAGAGCAGCTCTGAAACCCTCTTATTCTAGAATCTGCAAGTGGACATTTGGAGGGATTTGAGGCCTGTGGTGGAAAAGGAAAATCTTCACATAAAAACTAGATGGAAGCATTCTCAGAAACTACTTTGTGATGATTGCATTCGACTCACAGAGTTGAACATTCCTATACATAGAGCAGGTTGTAAACAATCTTTTTGTAGAATCTGCGATTGGAGATTTGGACTGCTTTGAGGCCTACTGTAGTAAAGGAAATAACTTCATCTAAAAACCAAACGGAAGCATTCACAGACAATTCTTAGTGATCATTGCATTGAACTAACAGAGCTGAACATTCCTTTAGATGGAGCAGATTCCAAACACACTTTCTGTAGAATCTGCAAGTGGATATTTGGACCTCTGTGAGGATTTCTTTGGAAACGGGCTAAACTTCCCAGAACTACACGGAAGCATTCTGAGAAACTTCTTTGTGATGTTTGCATTCAACTCACAGAGTTGAACCTTGCTTTCATAGTTCAGCTTTCAAACACTCTTTTTGTAGAATCTGCAAGTGGATATTTGGACCACTTTGTGGCCTTCCTTCGAAACGGGTATATCTTCACATCAAACCTAGACAGAAGAATTCTCAGAATGTTTCCTGTGATGACTGCATTCAACTCACAGAGGTGAACAATCCTGTTGATGGAGCAGTTTTGAAACTCTCTTTCTTTGGATTCTGCAAGTGGATATGTGGACCTCTGTGAAGATTTGGTTGGAAACGGGTTCATCTTCCCAGAAAAACTAAAAAGAAACATTCTCAGAAACTGCTTTGTGAAGTTTGTGTTCCACTTCAGGAATTGAACTTTCCTCTTGACAGAGCAGCTCTGAAACCCTCTTATTCTAGAATCTGCAAGTGGACATTTGGAGGGCTTTGAGGCCTGTGGTGGAAAAGGAAAATCTTCACATAAAAACTAGATGGAAGCATTCTCAGAAACTACTTTGTGATGATTGCATTCGACTCACAGAGTTGAACATTCCTATAGATAGAGCAGGTTGTAAACAATCTTTTTGTAGAATCTGCGATTGGAGATTTGGACTGCTTTGAGGCCTACTGTAGTAAAGGAAATAACTTCATCTAAAAACCAAACGGAAGCATTCACAGACAATTCTTAGTGATCATTGGATTGAACTAACAGAGCTGAACATTCCTTTAGATGGAGTAGTTTCCAAACACACTTTCTGTAGAATCTGCAAGTGGATATTTGGACTTCTCTGAGGATTTCGTTGGAAACGGGATAAACTTCCCAGAACTACACGGAAGCATGCTGAGAAACTTCTTTGTGATGTTTGCATTCAACTCACAGAGTTGAACCTTGCTTTCATAGTTCAGCTTTCAAACACTCTTTTTGTAGAATCTGCAAGTGGATATTTGGACCACTTTGTGGCCTTCCTTCGAAACGGGTATATCTTCACATCAAACCTAGACAGAAGCATTCTCAGAATGTTTCCTGTGATGACTGCATTCAACTCACAGAGGTGAACAATCCTGTTGATGGAGCACTTTTGAAACTCTCTTTCTTTGGATTCTGCAAGTTGATATGTGGACCTCTGTGAAGATTTCGTTGGAAACGGGTTCATCTTCAGAGAAAAACTAAACAGAAGCATTCTCAGAAACTGCTTTGTGATTTTTGTGTTCCACTTCAGGAATTGAACTTTCCTCTTGACAGAGCAGCTCTGAAACCCTCTTATTCTAGAATCTGCAAGTGGACATTTGGAGGGCTTTGAGGCCAGTGGTGGAAAAGGAAAATCTTCACATAAAAACTAGATGGAAGCATTCTCAGAAACTACTTTGTGATGATTGCATTCGACTCACAGAGTTGAACATTCCTATAGATAGAGCAGGTTGTAAACAATCTTTTTGTAGAATCTGCGATTGGAGATTTGGACTGCTTTGAGGCCTACTGTAGTAAAGGAAATAACTTCATGTAAAAACCGAACGGAAGCATTCACAGACAATTCTTAGTGATCATTGGATTGAACTAACAGAGCTGAACATTCCTTTAGATGGAGCAGTTTCCAAACACACTTTCTGTAGAATCTGCAAGTGGATATTTGGACCTCTCTGAGGATTTCGTTGGAAACGGGATAAACTTCCCAGAACTACACGGAAGCATTCTGAGAAACTTCTTTGTGATGTTTGCATTCAACTCACAGGGTTGAACCTTGCTTTCATAGTTCAGCTTTCAAACACTCTTTTTGTAGAATCTGCAAGTGGATATTTGGACCACCTTGTGGCCTTCGTTCGATACGGGTATATCTTCACATCAAACCTAGACAGAAGCATTCTCAGAATGTTTCCTGTGATGACTGCATTCAACTCACAGAGGTGAACAATCCTGTTGATGGAGCAGTTTTGAAACTCTCTTTCTTTGGATTCTGCAAGTGGATATGTGGACCTCTGTGAAGATTTCGTTGGAAACGGGTTCATCTTCACAGAAAAACTAAACAGGAGCATTCTCAGAAACTGCTTTGTGATGTTTGTGTTCCACTTCAAGAATTGAACTTTCCTCTTGACAGAGCAGCTCTGAAACCCTCTTTTTCTAGAATCTGCAAGTGGACATTTGGAGGGCTTTGAGGCCTGTGGTGGAAAAGGAAAATCTTCACATAAAAACTAGATGGAAACATTCTCAGAAACTACTTTGTGATGATTGCATTCGACTCACAGAGTTGAACATTCCTATAGATAGAGCAGGTTGTAAACAATCTTTTTGTAGAATCTGCGATTGGAGATTTGGACTGCTTTGAGGCCTACTGTAGTAAAGGAAATAACTTCATCTAAAAACCAAATGGAAGCATTCACAGACAATTCTTAGTGATCATTGGATTGAACTAACAGAGCTGAACATTCCTTTAGATGGAGCATTTTCCAAACACACTTTCTGTAGAATCTGCAAGTGGATATTTGGACTTCTCTGAGGATTTCGTTGGAAACGGGATAAACTTCCCAGAACTACACGGAAGCATTCTGAGAAACTTCTTTGTGATGTTTGCATTCAACTCACAGAGTTGAACCTTGCTTTCATAGTTCAGCTTTCAAACACTCTTTTTGTAGAATCTGCAAGTGGATATTTGGACCACTTTGTGGCCTTCCTTGGAAACGGGTATATCTTCACATCAAACCTAGACAGAAGCATTCTCAGAATGTTTCCTGTGATGACTGCATTCAACTCACAGAGGTGAACAATCCTGCTGATGGAGCAGTTTTGAAACTCTCTTTCTTTGGATTCTGCAAGTGGATATGTGGACCTCTGTGAAGATTTCGTTGGAAACGGGTTCATCTTCACAGAAAAACTAAACAGAAGCATTCTCAGAAACTGCTTTGTGATGTTTTTGTTCCACTTCAGGAATTGAACTTTCCTCTTGACAGAGCAGCTCTGAAAACCTCTTATTCTAGAATCTGCAAGTGGACATTTGGAGGGCTTTGAGGCCTGTGGTGGAAAAGGAAAGCTCTTCACATAAAAACTAGATGGAAGCATTCTCAGAAACTACTTTGTGATGATTGCATTCGACTCACAGAGTTGAACATTCCTATAGATAGAGCAGGTTGTAAACAATCTTTTTGTAGAATCTGCGATTGGAGATTTGGACTGCTTTGAGGCCTACTGTAGTAAAGGAAATAACTTCATCTAAAAACCAAACGGAAGCATTCACAGACAATTCTTAGTGATCATTGCATTGAACTAACAGAGCTGAACATTCCTTTAGATGGAGCATTTTCCAAACACACTTTCTGTAGAATCTGCAAGTGGATATTTGGACTTCTCTGAGGATTTCGTTGGAAACGGGATAAACTTCCCAGAACTACACGGAAGCATTCTGAGAAACTTCTTTGTGATGTTTGCATTCAACTCACAGAGTTGAACCTTGCTTTCATAGTTCAGCTTTCAAACACTCTTTTTGTAGAATCTGCAAGTGGATATTTGAACCACTTTGTGGCCTTCCTTCGAAACGGGTATATCTTCACATCAAACCTAGACAGAAGCATTCTCAGAATGTTTCCTGTGATGACTGCATTCAACTCACAGAGGTGAACAATCCTGCTGATGGAGCAGTTTTGAAACTCTCTTTCTTTGGATTCTGCAAGTGGATATGTGGACCTCTGTGAAGATTTCGTTGGAAACGGGTTCATCTTCACAGAAAAACTAAACAGGAGCATTCTCAGAAACTGCTTTGTGATGTTTGTGTTCCACTTCAGGAATTGAACTTTCCTCTTGACAGAGCAGCTCTAAAACCCTCTTATTCTAGAATCTGCAAGTGGACATTTGGAGGGCTTTGAGGCCTGTGGTGGAAAAGGAAAATCTTCACATAAAAACTAGATGGAAGCATTCTCAGAAACTACTTTGTGATGATTGCATTCGACTCACAGAGTTGAACATTCCTATAGATAGAGCAGGTTGTAAACAATGTTTTTGTAGAATCTGCGATTGGAGATTTGGACTGCTTTGAGGCCTACTGTAGTAAAGGAAATAACTTCATCTAAAAACCAAACGGAAGCATTCACAGACAATTCTTAGTGATCATTGCATTGAACTAACAGAGCTGAACATTCCTTTAGATGGAGCAGTTTCCAAACCCACTTTCTGTAGAATCTGCAAGTGGATATTTGGACTTCTCTGAGGATTTCGTTGGAAACGGGATAAACTTCCCAGAACTACACGGAAGCATTCTGAGAAACTTCTTTGTGATGTTTGCATTCAACTCACAGAGTTGAACCTTGCTTTCATAGTTCAGCTTTCAAACACTCTTTTTGTAGAATCTGCAAGTGGATATTTGGACCACTTTGTGGCCTTCCTTCGAAACGGGTATATCTTCACATCAAACCTAGACAGAAGCATTCTCAGAATGTTTCCTGTGATGACTGCATTCAACTCACAGAGGTGAACAATCCTGTTGATGGAGCAGTTTTGAAACTCTCTTTCTTTGGATTCTGCAAGTGGATATGTGGACCTCTGTGAAGATTTCGTTGGAAACGGGTTCATCTTCACAGAAAAACTAAACAGAAGCATTCTCAGAAACTGCTTTGTGATGTTTGTGTTCCACTTCAAGAATTGAACTTTCCTCTTGACAGAGCAGCTCTGAAACCCTCTTTTTCTAGAATCTGCAAGTGGACATTTGGAGGGCTTTGAGGCCTGTGGTGGAAAAGGAAAATCTTCACATAAAAACTAGATGGAAGCATTCTCAGAAACTACTTTGTGATGATTGCATTCGACTCACAGAGTTGAACATTCCTATAGATAGAGCAGGTTGAAAACAATCTTTTTGTAGAATCTGCGATTGGAGATTTGGACTGCTTTGAGGCCTACTGTAGTAAAGGAAATAACTTCATCTAAAAACCAAACGGAAGCATTCACAGACAATTCTTAGTGATCATTGGATTGAACTAACAGAGCTGAACATTCCTTTAGATGGAGCAGATTCCAAACACACTTTCTGTAGAATCTGCAACTGGATATTTGGACCTCTCTGAGGATTTCGTTGGAAACGGGATAAACTTCCCAGAACTACACGGAAGCATTGTGAGAAACTTCTTTGTGATGTTTGCATTCAACTCACAGAGTTGAACCTTGCTTTCATAGTTCAGCTTTCAAACACTCTTTTTGTAGAATCTGCAAGTGGATATTTGGACCACTTTGTGGCCTTCCTTCGAAACGGGTATATCTTCACATCAAACCTAGACAGAAGCATTCTCAGAATGTTTCCTGTGATGACTGCATTCAACTCACAGAGGTGAACAATCCTGCTGATGGAGCAGTTTTGAAACTCTCTTTCTATGGATTCTGCAAGTGGATATGTGGACCCCTGTGAAGATTTCGTTGGAAACGGGTTCATCTTCACAGAAAAACTAAACAGGAGCATTCTCAGAAACTGCTTTGTGATGTTTGTGTTCCACTTAAAGAATTGAACTTTCCTCTTGACAGAGCAGCTCTGAAACCCTCTTTTTCTAGAATCTGCAAGTGGACATTTGGAGGGCTTTGAGGCCTGTGGTGGAAAAGGAAAATCTTCACATAAAAATTTTATGGAAGCATTCTCAGAAACTTCTTTGTGATGATTGCATTCGACTCACAGAGTTGAACATTCCTATAGATAGAGCAGGTTGTAAACAATCTTTTTGTAGAATCTGCGATTGGAGATTTGGACTGCTTTGAGGCCTACTGTAGTAAAGGAAATTACTTCATCTAAAAACCAAACGGAAGCATTCACAGACAATTCTTAGTGATCATTGGATTGAACTAACAGAGCTGATCATTCCTTTAGATGGAGCAGTTTCCAAACCCACTTTCTGTAGAATCTGCAAGTGGATATTTGGACTTCTCTGAGGATTTCGTTGGAAACGGGATAAACTTCCCAGAACTACACGGAAGCATTCTGAGAAACTTCTTTGTGATGTTTGCATTCAACTCACAGAGTTGAACCTTGCTTTCATAGTTCAGCTTTCAAACACTCTTTTTGTAGAATCTGCAAGTGGATATTTGGACCACTTTGTGGCCTTCCTTCGAAACAGGTATATCTTCACATCAAACCTAGACAGAAGCCTTCTCAGAATGTTGCCTGTGATGACTGCATTCAACTCACAGAGGTGAACAATCCTGCTGATGGAGCAGTTTTGAAACTCTCTTTCTTTGGATTCTGCAAGTGGATATGTGGACCTCTGTGAAGATTTCGTTGGAAACGGGTTCATCTTCACAGAAAAACTAAACAGAAGCATTCTCAGAAACTGCTTTGTGATATTTGTGTTCCACTTCAGGAATTGAACTTTCCTCTTGACAGAGCAGCTCTGAAACCCTCTTTTTCTAGAATCTGCAAGTGGACATTTGGAGGGCTTTGAGGCCTGTGGTGGAAATGGAAAATCTTCACATAAATACTAGATGGAAGCATTCTCAGAAACTACTTTGTGATGATTGCATTCGACTCACAGAGTTGAACATTCCTATAGATACAGCAGGTTGTAAACAATCTTTTTGTAGAATCTGCGATTGGAGATTTGGACTGCTTTGAGGCCTACTGTAGTAAAGGAAATAACTTCATCTAAAAACCAAACGGAAGCATTCACAGACAATTCTTAGTGATCATTGCATTGAACTAACAGAGCTGAACATTCCTTTAGATGGAGCAGTTTCCAAACCCACTTTCTGTAGAATCTGCAAGTGGATATTTGGACTTCTCCGAGGATTTCGTTGGAAACGGGATAAACTTCCCAGAACTACACGGAAGCATTCTGAGAAACTTCTTTGTGATGTTTGCATTCAACTCACAGAGTTGAACCTTGCTTTCATAGTTCAGCTTTCAAACACTCTTTTTGTAGAATCTGCAAGTGGATATTTGGATCACTTTGTGGCCTTCCTTCGAAACGGGTATATCTTCACATCAAACCTAGACAGAAGCATTCTCAGAATGTTTCCTGTGATGACTGCATTCAACTCACAGAGGTGAACAATTCTGCTGATGGAGCAGTTTTGAAACTCTCTTTCTTTGGATTCTGCAAGTGGATATGTGGACCTCTGTGAAGATTTCGTTGGAAACGGGTTCATCTTCACAGAAAAACTAAACAGAAGCATTCTCAGAAACTGCTTTGTGATGTTTGTGTTCCACTTCAGGAATTGAACTTTCCTCTTGACAGAGCAGCTCTGAAACCCTCTTATGCTAGAATCTGCAAGTGGACATTTGGAGGGCTTTGAGGCCTGTGGTGGAAAAGGAAAATCTTCACATAAAAACTAGATGGAAGCATTCTCAGAAACTACTTTGGGATGATTGCATTCGACTCACAGAGTTGAACATTCCTATAGATAGAGCAGGTTGTAAACAATCTTTTTGTAGAATCTGCGATTGGAGATTTGGACTGCTTTGAGGCCTACTGTAGTAAATTAAATAACTTCATCTAAAAACCAAACGGAAGCATTCACAGACAATTCTTAGTGATCATTGCATTGAACTAACAGAGCTGAACATTCCTTTAGATGGCGCAGTTTCCAAACACACTTTCTGTAGAATCTGCAAGTGGATATTTGGACTTCTCTGAGGATTTCGTTGGAAACGGGATAAACTTCCCAGAACTACACGGAAGCATTGTGAGAAACTTCTTTGTGATGTTTGCATTCAACTCACAGAGTTGAACCTTGCTTTCATAGTTCAGCTTTCAAACACTCTTTTTGTAGAATCTGCAAGTGGATATTTGGACCACTTTGGGGCCTTCCTTCGAAACGGGTATATCTTCACATCAAACCTAGACAGAAGCATTCTCAGAATGTTTTCCTGTGATGACTGCATTCAACTCACAGAGGTGAACAATCCTGCTGATGGAGCAGTTTTGAAACTCTCTTTCTTTGGATTCTGCAAGTGGATATGTGGACCTCTGTGAAGATTTCGTTGGAAACGGGTTCATCTTCACAGAAAAACTAAACAGGAAGCATTCTCAGAAACTGCTTTGTGATGTTTGTGTTCCACTTCAAGAATTGAACTTTCCTCTTGACAGAGCAGCTCTGAAACCCTCTTTTTCTAGAATCTGCAAGTGGACATTTGGAGGGCTTTGAGGCCTGTGGTGGAAAAGGAAAATCTTCACATAAAAACTAGATGGAAGCATTCTCAGAAACTACTTTGTGATGATTGCATTCGACTCACAGAGTTGAACATTCCTATAGATAGAGCAGGTTGTAAACAATCTTTTTGTAGAATCTGCGATTGGAGATTTGGACTGCTTTGAGGCCTACTGTAGTAGAGGAAATAACTTCATCTAAAAACCAAACGGAAGCATTCACAGACAATTCTTAGTGATCATTGCATTGAACTAACAGAGCTGAACATTCCTTTAGATGGCGCAGTTTCCAAACACACTTTCTGTAGAATCTGCAAGTGGATATTTAGACCTCTCTGAGGATTTCGTTGGAAACGGGATAAACTTCCCAGAACTACACGGAAGCATTGTGAGAAACTTCTTTGTGATGTTTGCATTCAACTCACAGAGTTGAACCTTGCTTTCATAGTTCAGCTTTCAAACACTCTTTTTGTAGAATCTGCAAGTGGATATTTGGACCACTTTGTGGCCTTCCTTCGAAACGGGTATATCTTCACATCAAACCTAGACAGAAGCATTCTCAGAATGTTTCCTGTGATGACTGCATTCAACTCACAGAGGTGAACAATCCTGCTGATGGAGCAGTTTTGAAACTCTCTTTCTTTGGATTCTGCAAGTGGATATGTGGACCTCTGTGAAGATTTCGTTGGAAACGGGTTCATCTTCACAGAAAAACTAAACAGAAGTATTCTCAGAAACTGCTTTGTGATGTTTGTGTTCCACTTCAGGAATTGAACTTTCCTCTTGACAGAGCAGCTCTGAAACGCTCTTATTCTAGAATCTGCAAGTGGACATTTGGAGGGCTTTGAGGCCTGTGGTGGAAAAGGAAAATCTTCACATACAAACTAGATGGAAGCATTCTCAGAAACTACTTTGTGATGATTGCATTCGACTCACAGAGTTGAACATTCCTATAGATAGAGCAGGTTGTAAACAATCTTTTTGTAGAATCTGCGATTGGAGATTTGGACTGCTTTGAGGCCTACTGTAGTAAAGGAAATAACTTCATCTAAAAACCAAACGGAAGCATTCACAGACAATTCTTAGTGATCATTGGATTGAACTAACAGAGCTGAACATTCCTTTAGATGGCGCAGTTTCCAAACACACTTTCTGTAGAATCTGCAAGTGGATATTTGGACTTCTCTGAGGATTTCGTTGGAAACGGGATAAACTTCCCAGAACTACACGGAAGCATGCTGAGAAACTTCTTTGTGATGTTTGCTTTCAACTCACAGAGTTGAACCTTGCTTTCTTAGTTCAGCTTTCAAACACTCTTTTTGTAGAATCTGCAAGTGGATATTTGGACCACTTTGTGGCCTTCCTTCGAAACGGGTATATCTTCACATCAAACCTAGACAGAAGCATTCTCAGAATGTTTCCTGTGATGACTGCATTCAACTCACAGAGGTGAACAATCCTGTTGATGGAGCAGTTTTGAAACTCTCCTTCTTTGGATTCTGCAAGTGGATATGTGGACCTCTGTGAAGATTTCGTTGGAAACGGGTTCATCTTCACAGAAAAACTAAACAGAAACATTCTCAGAAACTGCTTTGTGATGTTTGTGTTCCACTTCAAGAATTGAACTTTCCTCTTGACAGAGCAGCTCTGAAACCCTCTTTTTCTAGAATCTGCAAGTGGACATTTGGAGGGCTTTGAGGCCTGTGGTGGAAAAGGAAAATCTTCACATAAAAACTAGATGGAAGCATTCTCAGAAACTACTTTGTGATGATTGCATTCGACTCACAGAGTTGAACATTCCTATAGATAGAGCAGGTTGTAAACAATCGTTTTGTAGAATCTGCGATTGGAGATTTGGACTGCTTTGAGGCCTACTGTAGTAAAGGAAATAACTTCATCTAAAAACCAAACGGAAGCATTCACAGACAATTCTTAGTGATCATTGGATTGAACTAACAGAGCTGAACATTCCTTTCGATGGCACAGTTTCCAAACACACTTTCTGTAGAATCTGCAACAGGATATTTGGACCTCTCTGAGGATTTCGTTGGAAACGGGATAAAATTCCCAGAACTACACAGAAGCATTCTGAGAAACTTCTTTGTGATGTTTGCATTCAACTCACAGAGTTGAACCTTGCTTTCATAGTTCAGCTTTCAAACACTCTTTTTGTAGAATCTGCAAGTGGATATTTGGACCACTTTCTGGCCTTCCTTCGAAACGGGTATATCTTCACATCAAACCTAGACAGAAGCATTCTCAGAATGTTTCCTGTGATGACTGCATTCAACTCACAGAGGTGAACAATCCTGTTGATGGAGCAGTTTTGAAACTCTCTTTCTTTGGATTCTGCAAGTGGATATGTGGACCTCTGTGAAGATTTCGTTGGAAACGGGTTCATCTTCACAGAAAAACTAAACAGAAGCATTCTCAGAAACTGCTTTGTGATGTTTGTGTTCCACTTCAGGAATTGAACTTTCCTCTTGACAGAGCAGCTCTGAAACCCTCTTTTTCTAGAATCTGCAAGTGGACATTTGGAGGGCTTTGAGGCCTGTGGTGGAAAAGGAAAATCTTCACATAAAAACTAGATGGAAGCATTCTCAGAAACTACTTTGTGATGATTGCATTCGACTCACAGAGTTGAACATTCCTATAGATAGAGCAGGTTGTAAACAATCTTTTTGTAGAATCTGCGATTGGAGATTTGGTCTGCTTTGAGGCCTACTGTAGTAAAGGAAATAACTTCATCTAAAAACCAAACGGAAGCATTCACAGACAATTCTTAGTGATCATTGCATTGAACTAACAGAGCTGAACATTCCTTTAGATGGCGCAGTTTCCAAACACACTTTCTGTAGAATCTGCAAGTGGATATTTGGACTTCTCTGAGGATTTCGTTGGAAACGGGATAAACTTCCCAGAACTACACGGAAGCATTCTGAGAAACTTCTTTGTGATGTTTGCATTCAACTCACAGAGTTGAACCTTGCTTTCATAGTTCAGCTTTCAAACACTCTTTTTGTAGAATCTGCAAGTGGATATTTGGACCACTTTGTGGCCTTCCTTCGAAACGGGTATATCTTCACATCAAACCTAGACAGAAGCATTCTCAGAATGTTTCCTGTGATGACTGCATTCAACTCACAGAGGTGAACAATCCTGCTGATGGAGCAGTTTTGAAACTCTCTTTCTTTGGATTCTGCAAGTGGATATGTGGACCTCTGTGAAGATTTCGTTGGAAACGGGTTCATCTTCACAGAAAAACTAAACAGAAGCATTCTCAGAAACTGCTTTGTGATGTTTGTGTTCCACTTCAAGAATTGAACTTTCCTCTTGACAGAGCAGCTCTGAAACCCTCTTTTTCTAGAATCTGCAAGTGGACATTTGGAGGGCTTTGAGGCCTGTGGTGGAAAAGGAAAATCTTCACATAAAAACTAGATGGAAGCATTCTCAGAAACTACTTTGTGATGATTGCATTCGACTCACAGAGTTGAACATTCCTATAGATAGAGCAGGTTGTAAACAATGTTTTTGTAGAATCTGCGATTGGAGATTTGGATTGCTTTGAGGCCTACTGTAGTAAAGGAAATAACTTCATCTAAAAACCAAACGGAAGCATTCACAGACAATTCTTAGTGATCATTGGATTGAACTAACAGAGCTGAACATTCCTTTAGATGGAGCAGTTTCCAAACCCACTTTCTGTAGAATCTGCAAGTGGATATTTGGACTTCTCTGAGGATTTCGTTGGAAACGGGATAAACTTCCCAGAACTACACGGAAGCATTCTGAGAAACTTCTTTGTGATGTTTGCATTCAACTCACAGAGTTGAACCTTGCTTTCATAGTTCAGCTTTCAAACACTCTTTTTGTAGAATCTGCAAGTGGATATTTGGACCACTTTGTGGCCTTCCTTCGAAACGGGTATATCTTCACATCAAACCTAGACAGAAGCATTCTCAGAATGTTTCCTGTGATGACTGCATTCAACTCACAGAGGTGAACAATCCTGCTGATGGAGCAGTTTTGAAACTCTCTTTCTTTGGATTCTGCAAGTGGATATGTGGACCTCTGTGTAGATTTCGTTGGAAACGGGTTCATCTTCACAGAAAAACTAAACAGAAGCATTCTCAGAAACTGCTTTGTGATGTTTGTGTTCCACTTCAAGAATTGAACTTTCCTCTTGACAGAGCAGCTCTGAAACCCTCTTATTCTAGAATCTGCAAGTGGACATTTGGAGGGCTTTGAGGCCTGTGGTGGAAAAGGAAAATCTTCACATAAAAACTAGATGGAAGCATTCTCAGAAACTACTTTTTGATGATTGCATTTGACTCACAGAGTTGAACATTCCTATAGATAGAGCAGGTTGTAAACAATCGTTTTCTAGAATCTGCGATTGGAGATTTGGACTGCTTTGAGGCCTACTGTAGTAAAGGAAATAACTGCATCTAAAAACCAAACGGAAGCATTCACAGACAATTCTTAGTGATCATTGGATTGAACTAACAGAGCTGAACATTCCTTTAGATGGAGCAGTTTCCAAACACACTTTCTGTAGAATCTGCAAGTGGATATTTGGACTTCTCTGAGGATTTCGTTGGAAACGGGATAAACTTCCCAGAACTACACGGAAGCATTCTGAGAAACTTCTTTGTGATGTTTGCATTCAACTCACAGAGTTGAACCTTGCTTTCATAGTTCAGCTTTCAAACACTCTTTTTGTAGAATCTGCAAGTGGATATTTGGACCACTTTGTGGCCTTCCTTCGAAACGGGTATATCTTCACATCAAACCTAGACAGAAGCACTCTCAGAATGTTTCCTGTGATGACTGCATTCAACTCACAGAGGTGAACAATCCTGCTGATGGAGCACTTTTGAAAATCTCTTTCTTTGGATTCTGCAAGTTGATATGTGGACCTCTGTGAAGATTTCGTTGGAAACGGGTTCATCTTCACAGAAAAACTAAACAGAAGCATTCTCAGAAACTACTTTGTGATGTTTGTGTTCCACTTCAAGAATTGAACTTTCCTCTTGACAGAGCAGCTCTGAAACCCTCTTTTTCTAGAATCTGCAAGTGGACATTTGGAGGGCTTTGAGGCCTGTGGTGGAAAAGGAAAATCTTCACATAAAAACTAGATGGAAGCATTCTCAGAAACTACTTTGTGATGATTGCATTCGACTCACAGAGTTGAACATTCCTATAGATAGAGCAGGTTGTAAACAATCTTTTTGTAGAATCTGCGATTGGAGATTTGGACTGCTTTGAGGCCTACTGTAGTAAAGGAAATAACTTCATCTAAAAACCAAACGGAAGCATTCACAGACAATTCTTAGTGATCATTGCATTGAACTAACAGAGCTGAACATTCCTTTAGATGGAGCAGTTTCCAAACCCACTTTCTGTAGAATCTGCAAGTGGATATTTGGACTTCTCTGAGGATTTCGTTGGAAACGGGATAAACTTCCCAGAACTACACGGAAGCATTCTGAGAAACTTCTTTGTGATGTTTGCATTCAACTCACAGAGTTGAACCTTGCTTTCATAGTTCAGCTTTCAAACACTCTTTTTGTAGGATCTACAAGTGGATATTTGACCACTTTGTGGCCTTCCTTCGAAACGGGTATATCTTCACATCAAACCTAGACAGAAGCATTCTCAGAATGTTTCCTGTGATGACTGCATTCAACTCACAGAGGTGAACAATCCTGCTGATGGAGCAGTTTTGAAACTCTCTTTCTTTGGATTCTGCAAGTGGATATGTGGACCTCTGTGAAGATTTCGTTGGAAACGGGTTCATCTTCACAGAAAAACTAAACAGGAGCATTCTCAGAAACTGCTTTGTGATGTTTGTGTTCCACTTCAAGAATTGAACTTTCCTCTTGACAGAGCAGCTCTGAAACCCTCTTTTTCTAGAATCTGCAAGTGGACATTTGGAGGGCTTTGAGGCCTGTGGTGGAAAAGGAAAATCTTCACATGAAAACTAGATGGAAGCATTCTCAGAAACTACTTTGTGATGATTGCATTCGACTCACAGAGTTGAACATTCCTATAGATAGAGCAGGTTGTAAACAATCTTTTTGTAGAATCTGCGATTGGAGATTTGGACTGCTTTGAGGCCTACTGTAGTAAAGGAAATTACTTCATCTAAAAACCAAACGGAAGCATTCACAGACAATTCTTAGTGATCATTGGATTGAACTAACAGAGCTGAACATTCCTTTAGATGGAGCAGTTTCCAAACCCACTTTCTGTGGAATCTGCAAGTGGATATTTGGACTTCTCTGAGGATTTCGTTGGAAACGGGATAAACTTCCCAGAACTACAGGGAAGCATTGTGAGAAACTTCTTTGTGATGTTTGCATTCAACTCACAGAGTTGAACCTTGCTTTCATAGTTCAGCTTTCAAACACTCTTTTTGTAGAATCTGCAAGTGGATATTTGGACCACTTTGTGGCCTTCCTTCGAAACGGGTATATCTTCACATCAAACCTAGACAGAAGCATTCTCAGAATGTTTCCTGTGATGACTGCATTCAACTCACAGAGGTGAACAATCCTGCTGATGGAGCAGTTTTGAAACTCTCTTTCTTTGGATTCTGCAAGTGGATATGTGGACCTCTGTGAAGATTTCGTTGGAAACGGGTTCATCTTCACAGAAAAACTAAACAGAAGCATTCTCAGAAACTGCTTTGTGATGTTTGTGTTCCACTTCAGGAATTGAACTTTCCTCTTGACAGAGCAGCTCTGAAACCCTCTTATTCTAGAATCTGCAAGTGGACATTTGGAGGGCTTTGAGGCCTGTGGTGGAAAAGGAAAATCTTCACATAAAAACTAGATGGAAGCATTCTAAGAAACTACTTTGTGATGATTGCATTCGACTCACAGAGTTGAACATTCCTATAGATAGAGCAGGTTGTAAACAATCTTTTTGTAGAATCTGCGATTGGAGATTTGGACTGCTTTGAGGCCTACTGTAGTAAAGGAAATAACTTCATCTAAAAATCAAACGGAAGCATTCACAAACAATTCTTAGTGATCATTGCTTTGAACTAACAGAGCTGAACATTCCTTTAGATGGAGCAGTTTCCAAACCCACTTTCTGTAGAATCTGCAAGTGGATATTTGGACTTCTCTGAGGATTTCGTTGGAAACGGGATAAACTTCCCAGAACTACAAGGAAGCATTCTGAGAAACTTCTTTGTGATGTTTGCATGCAACTCACAGAGTTGAACCTTGCTTTCATAGTTCAGCTTTCAAACACTCTTTTTGTAGAATCTGCAAGTGGATATTTGGACCACTTTGTGGCCTTCCTTCGAAACGGGTATATCTTCACATCAAACCTAGACAGAAGCATTCTCAGAATGTTTCCTGTGATGACTGCATTCAACTCACAGAGGTGAACAATCCTGCTGATGGAGCAGTTTTGAAACTCTCTTTCTTTGGATTCTGCAAGTGGATATGTGGACCTCTGTGAAGATTTCGTTGGAAACGGGTTCATCTTCACAGAAAAACTAAACAGAAGCATTCTCAGAAACTGCTTTGTGATGTTTGTGTTCCACTTCAAGAATTGAACTTTCCTCTTGACAGAGCAGCTCTGAAACCCTCTTATTCTAGAATCTGCAAGTGGACATTTGGAGGGCTTTGAGGCCTGTGGTGGAAAAGGAAAATCTTCACATAAAAACTAGATGGAAGCATTCTCAGAAACTACTTTGTGATGATTGCATTCGACTCACAGAGTTGAACATTCCTATACATAGAGCAGGTTGTAAACAATCTTTTTGTAGAATCTGCGATTGGAGATTTGGACTGCTTTGAGGCCTACTGTAGTAAAGGAAATAACTTCATCTAAAAACCAAACGGAAGCATTCACAGACAATTCTTAGTGATCATTGGATTGAACTAACAGAGCTGAACATTCCTTTAGATGGAGCAGTTTCCAAACACACTTTCTGTAGAATCTGCAAGTGGATATTTGGACCTCTCTGAGGATTTCGTTGGAAACGGGATAAACTTCCCAGAACTACACGGAAGCATTCTGAGAAACTTCTTTGTGATGTTTGCATTCAACTCACAGAGTTGAACCTTGCTTTCATAGTTCAGCTTTCAAACACTCTTTTTGTAGAATCTGCAAGTGGATATTTGGACCACTTTGTGGCCTTCCTTCGAAACGGGTATATCTTCACATCAAACCTAGACAGAAGCATTCTCAGAATGTTTCCTGTGATGACTGCATTCAACTCACAGAGGTGAACAATCCTGTTGATGGAGCAGTTTTGAAACTCTCTTTCTTTGGATTCTGCAAGTTGATATGTGGACCTCTGTGAAGATTTCGTTGGAAACGGGTTCATCTTCACAGAAAAACTAAACAGAAGCATTCTCAGCAAACTGCTTTGTGATGTTTGTGTTCCACTTCAAGAATTGAAATTTCCTCTTGACAGAGCAGCTCTGAAACCCTCTTTTTCTAGAATCTGCAAGTGGACATTTGGAGGGCTTTGAGGCCTGTGGTGGAAAAGGAAAATCTTCACATAAAAACTGGATGGAAGCATTCTCAGAAACTACTTTGTGATGATTGCATTCGACTCACAGAGTTGAACATTCCTATAGATAGAGCAGGTTGTAAACAATCTTTTTGTAGAATCTGCGATTGGAGATTTGGACTGCTTTGAGGCCTACTGTAGTAAAGGAAATAACTTCATCTAAAAACCAAACGGAAGCATTCACAGACAATTCTTAGTGATCATTGGATTGAACTAACGGAGCTGAACATTCCTTTAGATGGAGCATATTCCAAACACACTTTCTGTAGAATCTGCAAGTGGATATTTGGACTTCTCTGAGGATTTCGTTGGAAACGGGATAAACTTCCCAGAACTACAGGGAAGCATTCTGAGAAACTTCTTTGTGATGTTTGCATTCAACTCACAGAGTTGAACCTTGCTTTCATAGTTCAGCTTTCAAACACTCTTTTTGTAGAATCTGCAAGTGGATATTTGGACCACTTTGTGGCCTTCCTTCGAAACGGGTATATCTTCACATCAAACCTAGACAGAAGCATTCTCAGAATGTTTTCCTGTGATGACTGCATTCAACTCACAGAGGTGAACAATCCTGCTGATGGAGCAGTTTTGAAACTCTCTTTCTTTGGATTCTGCAAGTGGATATGTGGACCTCTCTGAAGATTTCGTTGGAAACGGGTTCATCTTCACAGAAAAACTAAACAGGAGCATTCTCAGAAACTGCTTTGTGATGTTTGTGTTCCACTTCAGGAATTGAACTTTCCTCTTGACAGAGCAGCTCTGAAACCCTCTTATTCTAGAATCTGCAAGTGGACATTTGGAGGGCTTTGAGGCCTGTGGTGGAAAAGGAAAATCTTCACATAAAAACTAGATGGAAGCATTCTCAGAAACTACTTTGTGATGATTGCATTCGACTCACAGAGTTGAACATTCCTATAGATAGAGCAGGTTGTAAACAATCTTTTTGTAGAATCTGCGATTGGAGATTTGGACTGCTTTGAGGCCTACTGTAGTAAAGGAAATAACTTCATCTAAAAACCAAACGGAAGCATTCACAGATAATTCTTAGTGATCATTGCATTGAACTAACAGAGCTGAACATTCCTGTAGATGGCGCAGTTTCCAAACACACTTTCTGTAGAATCTGCAAGTGGATATTTGGACCTCTCTGAGGATTTCGTTGGAAACGGGATAAACTTCCCAGAACTACACGGAAGCATTCTGAGAAACTTCTTTGTGATGTTTGCATTCAACTCACAGAGTTGAACCTTGCTTTCATAGTTCAGCTTTCAAACACTCTTTTTGTAGAATCTACAGAAAGTGGATATTTGGACCACTTTGTGGCCTTCCTTCGAAACGGGTATATCTTCACATCAAACCTAGACAGAAGCATTCTCAGAATGTTTCCTGTGATGACTGCATTCAACTCACAGAGGTGAACAATCCTGGTGATGGAGCAGTTTTGAAACTCTCTTTCTTTGGATTCTGCAAGTGGATATGTGGACCTCTGTGAAGATTTGGTTGGAAACGGGTTCATCTTCCCAGAAAAACTAAAAAGAAACATTCTCAGAAACTGCTTTGTGAAGTTTGTGTTCCACTTCAGGAATTGAACTTTCCTCTTGACAGAGCAGCTCTGAAACCCTCTTATTCTAGAATCTGCAAGTGGACATTCGGAGGGCTTTGAGGCCTGTGGTGGAAAAGGAAAATCTTCACATAAAAACTAGATGGAAGCATTCTCAGAAACTACTTTGTGATGATTGCATTCGACTCACAGAGTTGAACATTCCTATAGATAGAGCAGGTTGTAAACAATCTTTTTGTAGAATCTGCGATTGGAGATTTGGACTGCTTTGAGGCCTACTGTAGTAAAGGAAATAACTTCATCTAAAAACCAAACGGAAGCATTCACAGACAATTCTTAGTGATCATTGCATTGAACTAACAGAGCTGAACATTCCTTTAGATGGCGCAGTTTCCAAACACACTTTCTGTAGAATCTGCAAGTGGATATTTGGACTTCTCTGAGGATTTCGTTGGAAACGGGATAAACTTCCCAGAACTACACGGAAGCATTCTGAGAAACTTCTTTGTGATGTTTGCATTCAACTCACAGAGTTGAACCTTGCTTTCATAGTTCAGCTTTCAAACACTCTTTTTGTAGAATCTGCAAGTGGATATTTGGACCACTTTGTGGCCTTCCTTCGAAACGGGTATATCTTCACATCAAACCTAGACAGAAGCATTCTCAGAATGTTTCCTGTGATGACTGCATTCAACTCACAGAGGTGAACAATCCTGTTGATGGAGCACTTTTGAAACTCTCTTTCTTTGGATTCTGCAAGTTGATATGTGGACCTCTGTGAAGATTTCGTTGGAAACGGGTTCATCTTCACAGAAAAACTAAACAGAAGCATTCTCAGAAACTACTTTGTGATGTTTGTGTTCCACTTCAAGAATTGAACTTTCCTCTTGACAGAGCAGCTCTGAAACCCTCTTTTACTAGAATCTGCAAGTGGACATTTGGAGGGCTTTGAGGCCTGTGGTGGAAAAGGAAAATCTTCACATAAAAACTAGATGGAAGCATTCTCAGAAACTACTTTGTGATGATTGCATTCGACTCACAGAGTTGAACATTCCTATAGATAGATCAGGTTGTAAACAATCTTTTTGTAGAATCTGCGATTGGAGATTTGGACTGCTTTGAGGCCTACTGTAGTAAAGGAAATAACTTCATCTAAAAACCAAACGGAAGCATTCACAGACAATTCTTAGTGATTATTGGATTGAACTAACAGAGCTGAACATTCCTTTAGATGGCGCAGTTTCCAAACACACTTTCTGTAGAATCTGCAAGTGGATATTTGGACCTCTCTGAGGATTTCGTTGGAAACGGGATAAACTTCCCAGAACTACACGGAAGCATTCTGAGAAACTTCTTTGTGATGTTTGCATTCAACTCACAGAGTTGAACCTTGCTTTCATAGTTCAGCTTTCAAACACTCTTTTTGTAGAATCTGCAAGTGGATATTTGGACCACTTTGTGGCCTTCCTTCGAAACGGGTATATCTTCACATCAAACCTAGACAGAAGCATTCTCAGAATGTTTCCTGTGATGACTGCATTCAACTCACAGAGGTGAACAATCCTGCTGATGGAGCAGTTTTGAAACTCTCTTTCTTTGGATTCTGCAAGTGGATATGTGGACGTCTGTGAAGATTTCGTTGGAAACGGGTTCATCTTCACAGAAAAACTAAACAGGAGCATTCTCAGAAACTGCTTTGTGATGTTTGTGTTCCACTTCAAGAATTGAACTTTCCTCTTGACAGAGCAGCTCTGAAACCCTCTTTTTCTAGAATCTGCAAGTGGACATTTGGAGGGCTTTGAGGCCTGTGGTGGAAAAGGAAAATCTTCACATAAAAACTAGATGGAAGCATTCTCAGAAACTACTTTGTGATGATTGCATTCGACTCACAGAGTTGAACATTCCTATAGATAGAGCAGGTTGTAAACAATGTTTTTGTAGAATCTGCGATTGGAGATTTGGACTGCTTTGAGGCCTACTGTAGTAAAGGAAATAACTTCATCTAAAAACCAAACGGAAGCATTCACAGACAATTCTTAGTGATCATTGGATTGAACTAACAGAGCTGAACATTCCTTTAGATGGAGCAGTTTCCAAACACACTTTCTGTAGAATCTGCAACTGGATATTTGGACCCCTCTGAGGATTTCGTTGGAAACGGGATAAACTTCCCAGAACTACACGGAAGCATTCTGAGAAACTTCTTTGTGATGTTTGCATTCAACTCACAGAGTTGAACCTTGCTTTCATAGTTCAGCTTTCAAACACTCTTTTTGTAGAATCTGCAAGTGGATATTTGGACCACTTTGTGGCCTTCCTTCGAAACGGGTATATCTTCACATCAAACCTAGACAGAAGCATTCTCAGAATGTTTCCTGTGATGACTGCATTCAACTCACAGAGGTGAACAATCCTGCTGATGGAGCAGTTTTGAAACTCTCTTTCTTTGGATTCTCCAAGTGGATATGTGGACCTCTGTGTAGATTTCGTTGGAAACGGGTTCATCTTCACAGAAAAACTAAACAGGAGCATTCTCAGAAACTGCTTTGTGATGTTTGTGTTCCACTTCAAGAATTGAACTTTCCTCTTGACAGAGCAGCTCTGAAACCCTCTTTTTCTAGAATCTGCAAGTGGACATTTGGAGGGCTTTGAGGCCTGTGGTGGAAAAGGAAAATCTTCACATAAAAACTTTATGGAAGCATTCTCAGAAACTTCTTTGTGATGATTGCATTCGACTCCCAGAGTTGAACATTCCTATAGATAGAGCAGGTTGTAAACAATCTTTTTGTAGAATCTGCGATTGGAGATTTGGACTGCTTTGAGGCCTACTGTAGTAAAGGAAATTACTTCATCTAAAAACCAAACGGAAGCATTCACAGACAATTCTTAGTGATCATTGGATTGAACTAACAGAGCTGAACATTCCTTTAGATGGAGCAGTTTCCAAACACACTTTCTGTAGAATCTGCAAGTGGATATTTGGACCTCTCTGAGGATTTTGTTGGAAAAGGGATAAACTTCCCCAGAACTACACGGAAGCATTCTGAGAAACTTCTTTGTGATGTTTGCATTCAACTCACAGAGTTGAACCTTGCTTTCATAGTTCAGCTTTCAAACACTCTTTTTGTAGAATCTGCAAGTGGATATTTGGACCACTTTGTGGCCTTCCTTCGAAACGGGTATATCTTCACATCAAACCTAGACAGAAGCATTCTCAGAATGTTTCCTGTGATGACTGCATTCAACTCACAGAGGTGAACAATCCTGCTGATGGAGCAGTTTTGAAACTCTCTTTCTTTGGATTCTGCAAGTGGATATGTGGACCTCTGTGAAGATTTCGTTGGAAACGGGTTCATATTCACAGTAAAACTAAACAGGAGCATTCTCAGAAACTGCTTTGTGATGTTTGTGTTCCACTTCAAGAATTGAACTTTCCTCTTGACAGAGCAGCTCTGAAACCCTCTTTTTCTAGAATCTGCAAGTGGACATTTGGAGGGCTTTGAGGCCTGTGGTGGAAAAGGAAAATCTTCCCATAAAAACTAGATGGAAGCATTCTCAGAAACTACTTTGTGATGATTGCATTCGACTCACAGAGTTGAACATTCCTATAGATAGAGCAGGTTGTAAACAATCTTTTTGTAGAATCTGCGATTGGAGATTTGGACTGCTTTGAGGCCTACTGTAGTAAAGGAAATAACTTCATCTAAAAACCAAACGGAAGCATTCACAGACAATTCTTAGTGATTATTGGATTGAACTAACAGAGCTGAACATTCCTTTAGATGGCACAGTTTCCAAACACACTTTCTGTAGAATCTGCAAGTGGATATTTGGACCTCTCTGAGGATTTCGTTGGAAACGGGATAAACTTCCCAGAACTACACGGAAGCATTCTGAGAAACTTCTTTGTGATGTTTGCATTCAACTCACAGAGTTGAACCTTGCTTTCATAGTTCAGCTTTCAAACCCTCTTTTTGTAGAATCTGCAAGTGGATATTTGGACCACTTTGTGGCCTTCCTTCGAAACGGGTATATCTTCACATCAAACCTAGACAGAAGCATTCTCAGAATGTTTCCTGTGATGACTGCATTCAACTCACAGAGGTGAACAATCCTGCTGATGGAGCAGTTTTGAAACTCTCTTTCTTTGGATTCTGCAAGTGGATATGTGGACCTCTGTGAAGATTTCGTTGGAAACGGGTTCATCTTCACAGAAAAACTAAACAGAAGCATTCTCAGAAACTGCTTTGTGATGTTTGTGTTCCACTTCAGGAATTGAACTTTCCTCTTGACAGAGCAGCTCTGAAATCCTCTTATTCTAGAATCTGCAAGTGGACATTTGGAGGGCTTTGAGGCCTGTGGTGGAAAAGGAAAATCTTCACATAAAAACTAGATGGAAGCATTCTCAGAAACTACTTTGTGATGATTGCATTCGACTCACAGAGTTGAACATTCCTAAAGATAGAGCAGGTTGTAAACAATCTTTTTGTAGAATCTGAGATTGGAGATTTGGACTGCTTTGAGGCCTACTGTAGTAAAGGAAATAACTTCATCTAAAAACCAAACGGAAGCATTCACAGACAATTCTTAGTGATCATTGGATTGAACTAACAGAGCTGAACATTCCCTTAGATGGCGCAGTTTCCAAACACACTTTCTGTAGAATCTGCAAGTGGATATTTGGACGTCTCTGAGGATTTCGTTGGAAACGGGATAAACTTCCCAAAACTAAACGAAAGCATTCTGAGAAACTTCTTTGTGATGTTTGCATTCAACTCACAGAGTTGAACCTTGCTTTCATAGTTCAGCTTTCAAACACTCTTTTTGTAGAATCTGAAAGTGGATATTTGGACCACTTTGTGGCCTTCCTTCGAAACGGGTATATCTTCACATCAAACCTAGACAGAAGCATTCTCAGAATGTTTCCTGTGATGACTGCATTCAACTCACAGAGGTGAACAATCCTGCTGATGGAGCAGTTTTGAAACTCTCTTTCTTTGGATTCTGCAAGTGGATATGTTGACCTCTTTGAAGATTTCGTTGGAAACGGGTTCATCTTCACAGAAAAACTAAACAGGAGCATTCTCAGAAACTACTTTGTGATGTTTGTGTTCCACTTCAAGAATTGAACTTTCCTCTTGACAGAGCAGCTCTGAAACCCTCTTTTTCTAGAATCTGCAAGTGGACATTTGGAGGGCTTTGAGGCCTGTGGTGGAAAAGGAAAATCTTCACATAAAAACTAGATGGAAGCATTCTCAGAAACTACTTTGTGATGATTGCATTCGACTCACAGAGTTGAACATTCCTATAGATAGAGCAGGTTGTAAACAATGTTTTTGTAGAATCTGCGATTGGAGATTTGGACTGCTTTGAGGCCTACTGTAGTAAAGGAAATAACTTCATCTAAAAACCAAACGGAAGCATTCACAGACAATCCTTAGTGATCATTGCATTGAACTAACAGAGCTGAACATTCCTTTAGATGGCGCAGTTTCCAAACACACTTTCTGTAGAATCTGCAAGTGGATATTTGGACCTCTCTGAGGATTTCGTTGGAAACGGGATAAACTTCCCAGAACTACACGGAAGCATTCTGAGAAACTTCTTTGTGATGTTTGCATTCAACTCACAGATTTGAACCTTGCTTTCATAGTTCAGCTTTCAAACACTCTTTTTGTAGAATCTGCAAGTGGATATTTGGACCACTTTGTGGCCTTCCTTCGAAAAGGGTATATCTTCACATCAAACCTAGACAGAAGCATTCTCAGAATGTTTCCTGTGATGACTGCATTCAACTCACAGAGGTGAACAATCCTGCTGATGGAGCAGTTTTGAAACTCTCTTTCTTTGGATTCTGCAAGTGGATATGTGGACCTCTGTGAAGATTTCGTTGGAAACGGGTTCATCTTCACAGAAAAACTAAACAGAAGCATTCTCAGAAACTGCTTTGTGATGTTTGTGTTCCACTTCAGGAATTGAACTTTCCTCTTGACAGAGCAGCTCTGAAACCCTCTTTTTCTAGAATCTGCAAGTGGACATTTGGAGGGCTTTGAGGCATGTGGTGGAAAAGGAAAATCTTCACATAAAAACTAGATGGAAGCATTCTCAGAAACTACTTTGTGATGATTGCATTCGACTCACAGAGTTGAACATTCCTATAGATAGAGCAGGTTGTAAACAATCTTTTTGTAGAATCTGCGATTGGAGATTTGGACTGCTTTGAGGCCTACTGTAGTAAAGGAAATAACTTCATCTAAAAACCAAACGGAAGCATTCACAGACAATTCTTAGTGATCATTGCATTGAACTAACAGAGCTGAACATTTCTTTAGATGGAGCAGTTTCCAAACACACTTTCTGTAGAATCTGCAAGTGGATATTTGGACTTCTCTGAGGATTTCGTTGGAAACGGGATAAACTTCCCAGAACTACACGGAAGCATTCTGAGAAACTTCTTTGTGATGTTTGCATTCAACTCACAGAGTTGAACCTTGCTTTCATAGTTCAGCTTTCAAACACTCTTTTTGTAGAATCTGCAAGTGGATATTTGGACCACTTTCTGGCCTTCCTTCGAAACGGGTATATCTTCACATCAAACCTAGACAGAAGCATTCTCAGAATGTTTCCTGTGATGACTGCATTCAACTCACAGAGGTGAACAATCCTGCTGATGGAGCAGTTTTGAAACTCTCTTTCTTTGGATTCTGCAAGTGGATATGTGGACCTCTGTGAAGATTTCGTTGGAAACGGGTTCATCTTCACAGAAAAACTAAACAGAAACATTCTCAGAAACTGCTTTGTGATGTTTGTGTTCCACTTCAAGAATTGAACTTTCCTCTTGACAGAGCAGCTCTGAAACCCTCTTTTTCTAGAATCTGCAAGTGGACATTTGGAGGGCTTTGAGGCCTGTGGTGGAAAAGGAAAATCTTCACATAAAAACTAGATGGAAGCATTCTCAGAAACTACTTTGTGATGATTGCATTCGACTCACAGAGTTGAACATTCCTATAGATAGAGCAGGTTGTAAACAATCTTTTTGTAGAATCTGCGATTGGAGATTTGGACTGCTTTGAGGCCTACTGTAGTAAAGGAAATAACTTCATCTAAAAACCAAACGGAAGCATTCACAGACAATTCTTTGTGATCATTGGATTGAACTAAGAGACCTGAACATTCCTTTAGATGGCGCAGTTTCCAAACACACTATCTCTAGAATCTGCAAGTGGATATTTGGACCTCTCTGAGGATTTCGTTGGAAACGGGATAAAATCCCAGAACCACACACAAGCATTCTCAGAAACTTCTTTGTGATGTTGCATTCAACTCACAGACTTGAACCTTGCTTTCATAGTTCAGCTTCCAAACACTCTTTTTGTAGAATCTGCAAGTGGATATTTGGACCACTTTGTGGCCTTCCTTCGAAACGGGAATATCTTCACATCAAACCTAGACAGAAGCATTCTCAGAATGTTTCCTGTGATGACTGCATTCAACGCACAGAGGTGAACAATCCTGTTGATGGAGCAGTTTTGAATCTCTCTTTCTCTGGAATGTGCAAGTGGATATGTGGACCTCTTTGAAGATTTCGTTGGAAAAGGGTTCATCTTCAAAGAAAAACTAAACAGAAGCATTCTCAGAAACAACTTTGTGATATTTGTGTTCAACTTGCAGAGTTGACCTTTCCTCTTGACAGAGCAGCTATGAAACATTGTTTTTCTAGAATCTGCAAGTGGACATTTGGAGGGTTTTGGGGCCTTTGGCAGAAACGTAAATATCTGCATATAATAACTAGATAGAAGCATTCTGAGAATCTACTTTGTGATGATTGCATTCGACTCACAGAGTTAAACCTTCCAATGGAGAAATCAGTTTGTAAACACTCTTTTTGTAGAATCTGCGATTGCTGATTCGGACTGCATTGAGGCCTACGGTACTAAAGGAAATAACTTCATCTAAAAACCAAACCGAAAGCATTCACAGACAATTCTTAGTGATCATTGGATTGAACTAACAGAGCTGAACATTCCTTTAGATGGAGCAGTTTCCAAACCCACTTTCTGTAGAATCTGCAAGTGGATATTTAGACTTCTCTGAGGATTTCGTTGGAAACGGGATAAACTTCCCAGAACTACACGGAAGCATTCTGAGAAACTTCTTTGTGATGTTTGCATTCAACTCACAGAGTTGAACCTTGCTTTCATAGTTCAGCTTTCAAACACTCTTTTTGTAGAATCTGCAAGTGGATATTTGGACCACTTTGTGGCCTTCCTTCGAAACGGGTATATCTTCACATCAAACCTAGACAGAAGCATTCTCAGAAGGTTTCCTGTGATGACTGCATTCAACTCACAGAGGTGAACAATCCTGCTGATGGAGCAGTTTTGAAACTCTCTTTCTTTGGACTCTGCAAGTGGATATGTGGACCTCTGTGAAGATTTCGTTGGAAACGGGTTCATCTTCACAGAAAAACTAAACAGGAGCATTCTCAGAAACTGCTTTGTGATGTTTGTGTTCCACTTCAGGAATTGAACTTTCCTCTTGACAGAGCAGCCCTGAAACCCTCTTTTTCTAGAATCTGCAAGTGGACATTTGGAGGGCTTTGAGGCCTGTGGTGGAAAAGGAAAATCCTCACATAAAAACTAGATGGAAGCATTCTCAGAAACTACTTTGTGATGATTGCATTCGACTCACAGAGTTGAACATTCCTATAGATAGAGCAGGTTGTAAACAATCTTTTTGTAGAATCTGCGATTGGAGATTTGGACTGCTTTGAGGCCTACTGTAGTAAAGGAAATAACTTCATCTAAAAACCAAACGGAAGCATTCACAGACAATTCTTAGTGATCATTGCATTGAACTAACAGAGCTGAACATTCCTTTAGATGGCGCAGTTTCCAAACACACTTTCTGTAGAATCTGCAAGTGGATATTTGGACTTCTCTGAGGATTTCGTTGGAAACGGGATAAACTTCCCAAAACTACACGGAAGCATTCTGAGAAACTTCTTTGTGATGTTTGCATTCAACTCACAGAGTTGAACCTTGCTTTCATAGTTCAGCTTTCAAACACTCTTTTTGTACAATCTGCAAGTGGATATTTGGACCACTTTGTGGCCTTCCTTCGAAACGGGTATATCTTCACATCAAACCTAGACAGAAGCATTCTCAGAATGTTTCCTGTGATGACTGCATTCAACTCACAGAGGTGAACAATCCTGCTGATGGAGCAGTTTTGAAACTCTCTTTCTTTGGATTCTGCAAGTGGATATGTGGACCTCTGTGAAGATTTCGTTGGAAACGGGTTCATCTTCACAGAAAAACTAAACAGGAGCATTCTCAGAAACTGCTTTGTGATGTTTGTGTTCCACTTCAAGAATTGAACTTTCCTCTTGACAGAGCAGCTCTGAAACCCTCTTTTTCTAGAATCTGCAAGTGGACATTTGGAGGGCTTTGAGGCCTGTGGTGCAAAAGGAAAATCTTCACATAAAAACTAGATGGAAGCATTCTCAGAAACTACTTTGTGATGATTGCATTCGACTCACAGAGTTGAACATTCTTATAGATAGAGCAGGTTGTAAACAATCTTTTTGTAGAATCTGTGATTGGAGATTTGGACTGCTTTGAGGCCTACTGTAGTAAAGGAAATAACTTCATCTAAAAACCAAACGGAAGCATTCACAGACAATTCTTAGTGATCATTGGATTGAACTAACAGAGCTGAACATTCCCTTAGATGGCGCAGTTTCCAAACACACTTTCTGTAGAATCTGCAAGTGGATATTTGGACCTCTCTGAGGATTTCGTTGGAAACGGGATAAACTTCCCAGAACTACACGGAAGCATTCTGAGAAACTTCTTTGGATGTTTGCATTCAACTCACAGAGTTGAACCTTGCTTTCATAGTTCAGCTTTCAAACACTCTTTTTGTAGAATCTGCAAGTGGATACTTGGACCACTTTGTGGCCTTCCTTCGAAACGGGTATATCTTCACATCAAACCTAGACAGAAGCATTCTCAGAATGTTTCCTGTGATGACTGCATTCAACTCACAGAGGTGAACAATCCTGCTGATGGAGCAGTTTTGAAACTCTCTTTCTTTGGATTCTGCAAGTGGATATGTGGACCTCTGTGAAGATTTCGTTGGAAACGGGTTCATCTTCACAGAAAAACTAAACAGGAGCATTCTCAGAAACAGCTTTGTGATGTTTGTGTTCCACTTCAGGAATTGAACTTTCCTCTTGACAGAGCAGCTCTGAAACCCTCTTTTTCTAGAATCTGCAAGTGGACATTTGGAGGGATTTGAGGCCTGTGGTGGAAAAGGAAAATCTTCAGATAAAAACTAGATGGAAACATTCTCAGAAACTACTTTGTGATGATTGCATTCGACTCACAGAGTTGAACATTCCTATAGATAGAGCAGGTTGTAAACAATCTTTTTGTAGAATCTGCGATTGGAGATTTGGACTGCTTTGAGGCCTACTGTAGTAAAGGAAATAACTTCATCTAAAAACCAAACGGAAGCATTCACAGACAATTCTTAGTGATCATTGGATTGAACTAACAGAGCTGAACATTCCTTTAGATGGAGCAGTTTCCAAACACACTTTCTGTAGAATCTGCAAGTGGATATTTGGACCTCTCTGAGGATTTTGTTGGAAACGGGATAAACTTCCTAGAACTACACGGAAGTATTCTGAGAAACTTCTTTGTGATGTTTGCATTCAACTCACAGAGTTGAACCTTGCTTTCGTAGTTCAGCTTTCAAACACTCTTTTTGTAGAATCTGCAAGTGGATATTTGGACCACTTTGTGGCCTTCCTTCGAAACGGGTATATCTTCACATCAAACCTAGACAGAAGCATTCGCAGAATGTTTCCTGTGATGACTGCATTCAACTCACAGAGGTGAACAATCCTGCTGATGGAGCAGTTTTGAAACTCCCTTTCTTTGGATTCTGCAAGTGGATATGTGGACCTCTGTGAAGATTTCGTTGGAAACGGGTTCATCTTCACAGAAAAACTAAACAGGAGCATTCTCAGAAACTGCTTTGTGATGTTTGTGTTCCACTTCAGGAATTGAACTTTCCTCTTGACAGAGCAGCTCTGAAACCCTCTTTTTCTAGAATCTGCAAGTGGACATTTGGAGGGCTTTGAGGCCTGTGGTGGAAAAGGAAAATCTTCACATAAAAACTAGATGGAAGCATTCTCAGAAACTACTTTGTGATGATTGCATTCGACTCACAGAGTTGAACATTCCTATAGATAGAGCAGGTTGTAAACAATCTTTTTGTAGAATCTGCGATTGGAGATTTGGACTGCTTTGAGGCCTACTGTAGTAAAGGAAATAACTTCATCTAAAAACCAAACGGAAGCATTCACAGACAATTCTTAGTGATCATTGCATTGAACTAACAGAGCTGAACATTCCTTTAGATGGCGCAGTTTCCAAACACACTTTCTGTAGAATCTGCAAGTGGATATTTGGACCTCTCTGAGGATTTCGTTGGAAACGGGATAAACTTCCCAGAACTACACGGAAGCATTGTGAGAAACTTCTTTGTGATGTTTGCATTCAACTCACAGAGTTGAACCTTGCTTTCATAGTTCAGCTTTCAAACACTCTTTTTGTGGAATCTGCAAGTGGATATTTGGACCACTTTGTGGCCTTCCTTCGAAACGGGTATATCTTCACATCAAACCTAGACAGAAGCATTCTCAGAATGTTTCCTGTGATGACTGCATTCAACTCACAGAGGTGAACAATCCTGCTGATGGAGCAGTTTTGAAACTCTCTTTCTTTGGATTCTGCAAGTGGATATGTGGACCTCTGTGAAGATTTCGTTGGAAACGGGTTCATCTTCACAGAAAAACTAAACAGAAGCATTCTCAGAAACTGCTTTGTGATGTTTGTGTTCCACTTCAGGAATTGAACTTTCCTCTTGACAGAGCAGCTCTGAAACCCTCTTATTCTAGAATCTGCAAGTGGACATTTGGAGGGCTATGAGGCCTGTGGTGGAAAAGGAAAATCTTCACATAAAAACTAGATGGAAGCATTCTCAGAAACTACTTTGTGATGATTGCATTCGACTCACAGAGTTGAACATTCCTATAGATAGAGCAGGTTGTAAACAATCTTTTTGTAGAATCTGCGATTGGAGATTTGGACTGCTTTGAGGCCTACTGTAGTAAAGGAAATAACTTCATCTAAAAACCAAACGGAAGCATTCACAGACAATTCTTAGTGATCATTGGATTGAACTAAAAGAGCTGAACATTCCTTTAGATGGAGCAGTTTCCAAACACACTTTCTGTAGAATCTGCAAGTGGATATTTGGACTTCTCTGAGGATTTCGTTGGAAACGGGATAAACTTCCCAGAACTACACGGAAGCATTCTGAGAAATTTCTTTGTGATGTTTGCATTCAACTCACAGAGTTGAACCTTGCTTTCATAGTTCAGCTTTCAAACACTCTTTTTGTAGAATCTGCAAGTGGATATTTGGACCACTTTGAGGCCTTCCTTCGAAACGGGTATATCTTCACATCAAACCTAGACAGAAGCATTCTCAGAATGTTTCCTGTGATGACTGCATTCAACTCACAGAGGTGAACAATCCTGCTGATGGAGCAGTTTTGAAACTCTCTTTCTTTGGATTCTGCAAGTGGATATGTGGACCTCTGTGAAGATTTCGTTGGAAACGGGTTCATCTTCACAAAAAAACTAAACAGAAGCATTCTCAGAAACTGCTTTGTGATGTTTGTGTTCCACTTCAGGAATTGAACTTTCCTCTTGACAGAGCAGCTCTGAAACCCTCTTATTCTAGAATCTGCAAGTGGACATTTGGAGGGCTTTGAGGCCTGCGGTGGAAAAGGAAAATCTTCACATAAAAACTAGATGGAAGCATTCTCAGAAACTACTTTGGGATGATTGCATTCGACTCACAGAGTTGAACATTCCTATAGATAGAGCAGGTTGTAAACAATCTTTTTGTAGAATCTGCGATTGGAGATTTGGACTGCTTTGAGGCCTACTGTAGTAAATTAAATAACTTCATCTAAAAACCAAACGGGAAGCATTCACAGACAATTCTTAGTGATCATTGCATTGAACTAACAGAGCTGAACATTGCTTTAGATGGCGCAGTTTCCAAACACACTTTCTGTAGAATCTGCAAGTGGATATTTGGACCTCTCTGAGGATTTCGTTGGAAAAGGGATAAACTTCCCAGAACTACACGGAAGCATGCTGAGAAACTTCTTTGTGATGTTTGCATTCAACTCACAGAGTTGAACCTTGCTTTCATAGTTCAGCTTTCAAACACTCTTTTTGTAGAATCTGCAAGTGGATATTTGGACCACTTTGTGGCCTTCCTTCGAAACGGGTATATCTTCACATCAAACCTAGACAGAATCATTCTCAGAATGTTTCCTGTGATGACTGCATTCAACTCACAGAGGTGAACAATCCTGTTGATGTAGCACTTTTGAAACTCTCTTTCTTTGGATTCTGCAAGTTGATATGTGGACCTCTGTGAAGATTTCGTTGGAAACGGGTTCATCTTCACAGAAAAACTAAACAGAAACATTCTCAGAAACTGCTTTGTGATGTTTGTGTTCCACTTCAAGAATTGAACTTTCCTCTTGACAGAGCAGCTCTGAAACCCTCTTTTTCTAGAATCTGCAAGTGGACATTTGGAGGGCTTTGAGGCCTGTGGTGGAAAAGGAAAATCTTCACATAAAAACTAGATGGAAGCATTCTCAGAAACTCCTTTGTGATGATTGCATTCGACTCACAGAGTTGAACATTCCTATAGATAGAGCAGGTTGTAAACAATCTTTTTGTAGAATCTGCGATTGGAGATTTGGACTGCTTTGAGGCCTACTGTAGTAAAGGAAATAACTTCATCTAAAAACCAAACGGAAGCATTCACAGACAATTCTTAGTGATCATTGGATTGAACTAACAGAGCTGAACATTCCCTTAGATGGCGCAGTTTCCAAACACACTTTCTGTGGAATCTGCAAGTCGATATTTGGACCTCTCTGAGGATTTCGTTGGAAACGGCATAAAATTCCCAGAACTACACGGAAGCATTCTGAGAAACTTCTTTGTGATGTTTGCATTCAACTCACAGAGTTGAACCTTGCTTTCATAGTTCAGCTTTCAAACACTCTTTTTGTAGAATCTGCAAGTGGATATTTGGACCACTTTGTGGCCTTCCTTCGAAACGGGTATATCTTCACATCAAACCTAGACAGAAGCATTCTCAGAATGTTTCCTGTGATGACTGCTTTCAACTCACAGACGTGAACAATCCTGCTGATGGAGCAGTTTTGAAACTCTCTTTCTTTGGATTCTGGAAGTGGATATGTGGACCTCTGTGAAGATTTCGTTGGAAACGGGTTCATCTTCACAGAAAAACTAAACAGGAGCATTCTCAGAAACTGCTTTGTTATGTTTGTGTTCCACTTCAAGAATTGAACTTTCCTCTTGACAGAGCAGCTCTGAAACCCTCTTTTTCTAGAATCTGCAAGTGGACATATGGAGGGTTTGAGGCCTGTGGTGAAAAAGGAAAATCTTCACATAAAAACTAGATGGAAGCATTCTCAGAAACTATTTTGTGATGATTGCATTCGACTCACAGAGTTGAACATTCCTATAGATAGAGCAGGTTGTAAACAATCTTTTTGTAGAATCTGCGATTGGAGATTTGGACTGCTTTGAGGCCTACTGTAGTAAAGGAAATAACTTCATCTAAAAACCAAACGGAAGCATTCACAGACAATTCTTAGTGATCATTGGATTGAACTAACAGAGCTGAACATTCCTTTAGATGGAGTAGTTTCCAAACCCACTTTCTGTAGAATCTGCAAGTGGATATTTGGACTTCTCTGAGGATTTCGTTGGAAACGGGATAAACTTCCCAGAACTACACGGAAGCATTGTGAGAAACTTCTTTGTGATGTTTGCATTCAACTCACAGAGTTGAACCTTGCTTTCATAGTTCAGCTTTCAAACACTCTTTTTGTAGAATCTGCAAGTGGATATTTCGACCACTTTGTGGCCTTCCTTCGAAACGGGTATATCTTCACATCAAACCTAGACAGAAGCATTCTCAGAATGTTTCCTGTGATGACTGCATTCAACTCACAGAGGTGAACAATCCTGTTGATGGAGCAGTTTTGAAACTCTCTTTCTTTGGATTCTGCAAGTGGATATGTGGACCTCTGTAAAGATTTCGTTGGAAACGGGTTCATCTTCACAGAAAAACTAAACAGAAGCATTCTCAGAAACTGCATTATCATGATTGTGTTCCACTTAAAGAGTTGAACTTTCCTCTTGACAGAGCAGCTCTGAAACCCTCTTTTTCTAGAATCTGCAAGTGGACATTTGGAGGGCTTTGAGGCCTGTGGTGGAAAAGGAAAATCTTCACATAAAAACTTTATGGAAGCATTCTCAGAAACTACTTTGTGATGATTGCATTCGACTCACAGAGTTGAACATTCCTATAGGTAGAGCAGGTTGTAAACAATCTTTTTGTAGAATCTGCGATTGGAGATTTGGACTGCTTTGAGGCCTACTGTAGTAAAGGAAATAACTTCATCTAAAAACCAAACGGAAGCATTCACAGACAATTCTTAGTGATCATTGGATTGAACTAACAGAGCTGAACATTCCTTTAGATGGAGCAGTTTCCAAACACACTTTCTGTAGAATCTGCAAGTGGATATTTGGACTTCTCTGAGGATTTCGTTGGAAACGGGATAAACTTCCCAGAACTACAGGGAAGCATTGGGAGAAACTTCTTTGTGATGTTTGCATTCAACTCACAGAGTTGAACCTTGCTTTCATAGTTCAGCTTTCAAACACTCTTTTTGTAGAATCTGCAAGTGGATATTTGGACCCCTTTGTGGCCTTCCTTCGAAACGGGTATATCTTCACATCAAACCTAGACAGAAGCATTCTCAGAATGTTTCCTGTGATGACTGCATTCAACTCACAGAGGTGAACAATCCTGCTGATGGAGCAGTT
Organism: Homo sapiens; assembly: GCF_000001405.40. NCBI lineage: Eukaryota > Metazoa > Chordata > Mammalia > Primates > Hominidae > Homo > Homo sapiens. The sequence goes on from NC_000011.10 coordinate 51,730,508, forward strand.
TTGAAACTCTCTTTCTTTGGATTCTGCAAGTGGATATGTGGACCTCTGTGAAGATTTCGTTGGAAACGGGTTCATCTTCACAGAAAAACTAAACAGAAGCATTCCCAGAAACTGCTTTGTGATGTTTCTGTTCCACTTCAAGAATTGAACTTTCCTCTTGACAGAGCAGCTCTGAAACCCTCTTTTTCTAGAATCTGCAAGTGGACATTTGGAGGGCTTTGAGGCCTGTGGTGGAAAAGGAAAATCTTCACATAAAAACTAGATGGAAGCATTCTCAGAAACTACTTTGTGATGATTGCATTCGACTCACAGAGTTGAACATTCCTATAGATAGAGCAGGTTGTAAACAATGTTTTTGTAGAATCTGCGATTGGAGATTTGGACTGCTTTGAGGCCTACTGTAGTAAAGGAAATAACTTCATCTAAAAACCAAACGGAAGCATTCACAGACAATTCTTAGTGATCATTGGATTGAACTAACAGAGCTGAACATTCCTTTAGATGGAGCAGTTTCCAAACACACTTTCTGCAGAATCTGCAAGTGGATATTTGGACTTCTCTGAGGATTTCGTTGGAAATGGGATAAACTTCCCAGAACTACACGGAAGCATTCTGAGAAACTTCTTTGTGATGTTTGCATTCAACTCACAGAGTTGAACCTTGCTTTCATAGTTCAGCTTTCAAACACTCTTTTTGTAGAATCTGCAAGTGGATATTTGGACCACTTTGCGGCCTTCCTTCGAAACGGGTATATCTTCACATCAAACCTAGACAGAAGCATTCTCAGAATGTTTCCTGTGATGACTGCATTCAACTCACAGAGGTGAACAATCCTGCTGATGGAGCAGTTTTGAAACTCTCTTTCTTTGGATTCTGCAAGTGGATATGTGGACCTCTGTGAAGATTTCGTTGGAAACGGGTTCATCTTCACAGAAAAACTAAACAGAAGCATTCTCAGAAACTGCTTTGTGATGTTTTTGTTCCACTTCAGGAATTGAACTTTCCTCTTGACGGAGCAGCTCTGAAACCCTCTTTTTCTAGAATCTGCAAGTGGACATTTGGAGGGCTTTGAGGCCTGTGGTGGAAAAGGAAAATCTTCACATAAAAACTAGATGGAAGCATTCTCAGAAACTACTTTGTGATGATTGCATTCGACTCACAGAGTTGAACATTCCTATAGATAGAGCAGGTTGTAAACAATCTTTTTGTAGAATCTGCGATTGGAGATTTGGACTGCTTTGAGGCCTACTGTAGTAAAGGAAATAACTTCATCTAAAAACCAAACGGAAGTATTCACAGACAATTCTTAGTGATCATTGGATTGAACCAACAGAGCTGAACATTCCTTTAGATGGAGCAGTTTCCAAACACACTTTCTGTAGAATCTACAAGTGGATATTTGGACTTCTCTGAGGATTTCGTTGGAAACGGGATAAACTTCCCAGAACTACACGGAAGCATTCTGAGAAACTTCTTTGTGATGTTTGCATTCAACTCACAGAGTTGAACCTTGTTTTCATAGTTCAGCTTTCAAACACTCTTTTTGTAGAATCTGCAAGTGGATATTTGGACCACTTTGTGGCCTTCCTTCGAAACGGGTATATCTTCACATCAAACCTAGACAGAAGCATTCTCAGAATGTTTCCTGTGATGACTGCATTCAACTCACAGAGGTGAACAATCCTGTTGATGGAGAACTTTTGAAACTCTCTTTCTTTGGATTCTGCAAGTTGATATGTGGACCTCTGTGAAGATTTCGTTGGAAACGGGTTCATCTTCACAGAAAAACTAAACAGAAGCATTCTCAGAAACTGCTTTGTGATGTTTGTGTTCCACTTCAAGAATTGAACTTTCCTCTTGACAGAGCAGCTCTGAAACCCTCTTATTCTAGAATCTGCAAGTGGACATTTGGAGGGCTTTGAGGCCTGTGGTGGAAAAGGAAAATCTTCACATAAAAACTAGATGGAAGCATTCTCAGAAACTACTTTGTGATGATTGCATTCGACTCACAGAGTTGAACATTCCTATAGATAGAGCAGGTTGTAAACAATCTTTTTGTAGAATCTGCGATTGGAGATTTGGACTGCTTTGAGGCCTACTGTAGTAAAGGAAATAACTTCATCTAAAAACCAAACGGAAGCATTCACAGACAATTCTTAGTGATCATTGCATTGAACTAACAGAGCTGAACATTCCTTTAGATGGCGCAGTTTCCAAACACACTTTCTGTAGAATCTGCAAGTGGATATTTGGACCTCTCTGAGGATTTCGTTGGAAACGGGATAAATTTCCCAGTACTACACGGAAGCATTCTGAGAAACTTCTTTGTGATGTTTGCATTCAACTCACAGAGTTGAACCTTGCTTTCATAGTTCAGCTTTCAAACACTCTTTTTGTAGAATCTGCAAGTGGATATTTGGAACACTTTGTGGCCTTCCTTCGAAACGGGTATATCTTCACATCAAACCTAGACAGAAGCATTCTCAGAATGTTTCCTGTGATGACTGCATTCAACTCACAGAGGTGAACAATCCTGCTGATGGAGCAGCGTTGAAACTCTCTTTCTTTGGATTCTGCAAGTGGATATGTGGACCTCTGTGAAGATTTCGTTGGAAACGGGTTCATCTTCACAGAAAAACTAAACAGGAGCATTCTCAGAAACTGCATTGTGATGTTTGTGTTCCACTTCAAGAATTGAACTTTCCTCTTGACAGAGCAGCTCTGAAACCCTCTTTTTCTAGAATCTGCAAGTGGACATTTGGAGGGCTTTGAGGTCTGTGGTGGAAAAGGAAAATCTTCACGTAAAAACTTTATGGAAGCATTCTCAGAAACTACTTTGTGATGATTGCATTCGACTCACAGAGTTGAACATTCCTATAGATAGAGCAGGTTGTAAACAATCTTTTTGTAGAATCTGCGATTGGAGATTTGGACTGCTTTGAGGCCTACTGTAGTAAAGGAAATAACTTCATCTGAAAACCAAACGGAAGCATTCACAGACAATTCTTAGTGATCATTGGATTGAACTAACAGAGCTGAACATTCCTTTAGATGGAGCAGTTTCCAAACACACTTTCTGTAGAATCTGCAAGTGGATATTTGGACTTCTCTGAGGATTTCGTTGGAAACGGGATAAACTTCCCAGAACTACACGGAAGCATTCTGAGAAACTTCTTTGTGATGTTTGCATTCAACTCACAGAGTTGAACCTTGCTTTCATAGTTCAGCTTTCAAACACTCTTTTTGTAGAATCTGCAAGTGGATATTTGGACCACTTTGTGGCCTTCCTTCGAAACGGGTATATCTTCACATCAAACCTAGACAGAAGCATTCTCAGAATGTTACCTGTGATGACTGCATTCAACTCACAGAGGTGAACAATCCTGCTGATGGAGCAGTTTTGAAACTCTCCTTCTTTGGATTCTGCAAGTGGATATGTGGACCTCTGTGAAGATTTCGTTGGAAACGGGTTCATTTTCACAGAAAAACTAAACAGAAGCATTCTCAGAAACTGCTTTGTGATGTTTGTGTTCCACTTCAGGAATTGAACTTTCCTCTTGACAGAGCAGCTCTGAAACCCTCTTTTTCTAGAATCTGCAAGTGGACATTTGGAGGGCTTTGAGGCCTGTGGTGGAAAAGGAAAATCTTCACATAAAAACTAGATGGAAGCATTCTCAGAAACTACTTTGTGATGATTGCATTCGACTCACAGAGTTGAACATTCCTATATATAGAGCAGGTTGTAAACAATCTTTTTGTAGAATCTGCGATTGGAGATTTGGACTGCTTTGAGGCCTACTGTAGTAAAGGAAATAACTTCATCTAAAAACCAAACGGAAGCATTCACAGACAATTCTTAGTGATCATTGCATTGAACTAACAGAGCTGAACATTCCTTTAGATGGAGCAGTTTCCAAACACACTTTCTGTAGAATCTGCAAGTGGATATTTGGACCTCTGTGAGGATTTCGTTGGAAACGGGATAAACTTCCCAGAACTACACGGAAGCATTCTGAGAAACTTCTTTTTGATGTTTGCATTCAACTCACAGAGTTGAACCTTGCTTTCATAGTTCAGCTTTCAAACACTCTTTTTGTAGAATCTGCAAGTGGATATTTGGACCACTTTGTGGCCTTCCTTCGAAACGGGTATATCTTCACATCAAACCTAGACAGAAGCATTCTCAGAATGTTTCCTGTGATGACTGCATTCAACTCACAGAGGTGAACAATCCTGTTGATGGAGCAGTTTTGAATCTCTCTTTCTTTGGATTCTGCAAGTGGATATGTGGACCTCTGTGAAGATTTCGTTGGAAACGGGTTCATTTTCACAGAAAAACTAAACAGAAGCATTCTCAGAAACTGCTTTGTGATGTTTGTGTTCCACTTCAAGAATTGAACTTTCCTCTTGACAGAGCAGCTCTGAAACCCTCTTTTTCTAGAATCTGCAAGTGGACATTTGGAGGGCTTTGAGGCCTGTGGTGGAAAAGGAAAATCTTCCCATAAAAACTAGATGGAAGCATTCTCAGAAACTACTTTGTGATGATTGCATTCGACTCACAGAGTTGAACATTCCTATAGATAGAGCAGGTTGTAAACAATCTTTTTGTAGAATCTGCGATTGGAGATTTGGACTGCTTTGAGGCCTACTGTAGTAAAGGAAATAACTTCATCTAAAAACCAAACGGAAGCATTCACAGACAATTCTTAGTGATCATTGCATTGAACTAACAGAGCTGAACATTGCTTTAGATGGCGCAGTTTCCAAACCCACTTTCTGTAGAATCTGCAAGTGGATATTTGGACCTCTCTGAGGATTTCGTTGGAAACGGGATAAACTTCCCAGAACTACACGGAAGCATGCTGAGAAACTTCTTTGTGATGTTTGCATTCAACTCACAGAGTTGAACCTTGCTTTCATAGTTCAGCTTTCAAACACTCTTTTTGTAGAATCTGCAAGTGGATATTTGGACCACTTTGTGGCCTTCCTTCGAAACGGGTATATCTTCACATCAAACCTAGAAAGAAGCATTATCAGAATGTTTCCTGTGATGACTGCATTCAACTCACAGAGGTGAACAATCCTGTTGATGGAGCACTTTTGAAACTCTCTTTCTTTGGATTCTGCAAGTTGATATGTGGACCTCTGTGAAGATTTCGTTGGAAACCGGTTCATCTTCACAGAAAAACTAAACAGAAGCATTCTCAGAAGCTACTTTGTGATGTTTGTGTTCCACTTCAAGAATTGAACTTTCCTCTTGACAGAGCAGCTCTGAAACCCTCTTTTTCTAGAATCTGCAAGTGGACATTTGGAGGGCTTTGAGGCCTGTGGTGGAAAAGGAAAATCTTCACATAAAAACTAGATGGAAGCATTCTCAGAAACTACTTTGTGATGATTGCATTCGACTCACAGAGTTGAACATTCCTATAGATAGAGCAGGTTGTAAACAATCTTTTTGTAGAATCTGCGATTGGAGGTTTGGACTGCTTTGAGGCCTACTGTAGTAAAGGAAATAACTTCATCTAAAAACCAAACGGAAGCATTCACAGACAATTCTTAGTGATCATTGGATTGAACTAACAGAGCTGAACATTCCTTTAGATGGAGCAGTTTCCAAACACACTTTCTGTAGAATCTGCAAGTGGATATTTGGACCTCTCTGAGGATTTCGTTGGAAACGGGATAAACTTCCCAGAACTACACGGAAGCATTGTGAGAAACTTCTTTGTGATGTTTGCATTCAACTCACAGAGTTGAACCTTGCTTTCATAGTTCAGCTTTCAAACACTCTTTTTGTAGAATCTGCAAGTGGATATTTGGACCACTTTGTGGCCTTCCTTCGAAACGGGTATATCTTCACATCAAACCTAGACAGAAGCATTCTCAGAATGTTTCCTGTGATGACTGCATTCAACTCACAGAGGTGAACAATCCTGCTGATGGAGCAGTTTTGGAACTCTCTTTCTTTGGATTCTGCAAGTGGATATGTGGACCTCTGTGAAGATTTCGTTGGAAACGGGTTCATCTTCACAGAAAAACTAAACAGGAGCATTCTCAGAAACTGCTTTGTGATGTTTGTGTTCCACTTCAGGAATTGAACTTTCCTCTTGACAGAGCAGCTCTGAAACCCTCTTATTCTAGAATCTGCAAGTGGACATTTGGAGGGCTTTGAGGCCTGTGGTGGAAAAGGAAAATCTTCACATAAAAACTAGATGGAAGCATTCTCAGAAACTACTTTGTGATGATTGCATTCGACTCACAGAGTTGAACATTCCTATAGATAGAGCAGGTTGTAAACAATCTTTTTGTAGAATCTGCGATTGGAGATTTGGACTGCTTTGAGGCCTACTGTAGTAAAGGAAATAACTTCATCTAAAAACCAAACGGAAGCATTCACAGACAATGCTTAGTGATTATTGGATTGAACTAACAGAGCTGAACATTCCTTTAGATGGAGCAGTTTCCAAACACACTTTCTGTAGAATCTGCAAGTGGATATTTGGACCTCTCTGAGGATTTCATTGGAAACGGGATAAACTTCCCAGAACTACACGGAAGCATTCTGAGAAACTTCTTTGTGATGTTTGCATTCAACTCACAGAGTTGAACCTTGCTTTCATAGTTCAGCTTTCAAACACTCTTTTTGTAGAATCTGCAAGTGGATATTTGGACCACTTTGTGGCCTTCCTTCGAAACGGGTATATCTTCACATCAAACCTAGACAGAAGCATTCTCAGAATGTTTCCTGTGATGACTGCATTCAACTCACAGCAGGTGAACAATCCTGTTGATGGAGCAGTTTTGAAACTCTCTTTCTTTGGATTCTGCAAGTGGATATGTGGACCTCTGTGAAGATTTCGTTGGAAACGGGTTCATCTTCACAGAAAAACTAAACAGAAGCATTCTCAGAAACTGCTTTGTGATGTTTGTGTTCCACTTCAAGAATTGAACTTTCCTCTTGACAGAGCAGCTCTGAAACCCTCTTTTTCTAGAATCTGCAAGTGGACATTTGGAGGGCTTTGAGGCCTGTGGTGGAAAAGGAAAATCTTCACATAAAAACTAGATGGAAGCATTCTCAGAAACTACTTTGTGATGATTGCATTCGACTCACAGAGTTGAACATTCCTATAGATAGAGCAGGTTGTAAACAATCTATTTGTAGAATCTGCGATTGGAGATTTGGACTGCTTTGAGGCCTACTGTAGTAAAGGAAATAACTTCATCTAAAAACCAAACGGAAGCATTCACAGACAATTCTTAGTGATCATTGGATTGAACTAACAGAGCTGAACATTCCTTTAGATGGAGCAGTTTCCAAACCCACTTTCTGAAGAATCTGCAAGTGGATATTTGGACTTCTCTGAGGATTTCGTTGGAAACGGGATAAACTTCCCAGAACTACACGGAAGCATTGTGAGAAACTTCTTTGTGATGTTTGCATTCAACTCACAGAGTTGAACCTTGCTTTCATAGTTCAGCTTTCAAACACTCTTTTTGTAGAATCTGCAAGTGGATATTTGGACCACTTTGTGGCCTTCCTTCGAAACGGGTATATCTTCACATCAAACCTAGACAGAAGCATTCTCAGAATGTTTCCTGTGATGACTGCATTCAACTCACAGAGGTGAACAATCCTGCTGATGGAGCAGTTTTGAAACTCTCTTTCTTTGGATTGTGCAAGTGGATATGTGGACCTCTGTGTAGATTTCGTTGGAAACGGGTTCATCTTCACAGAAAAACTAAACAGGAGCATTCTCAGAAACTGCTTTGTGATGTTTGTGTTCCACTTCAAGAATTGAACTTTCCTCTTGACAGAGCAGCTCTGAAACCCTCTTTTTCTAGAAACTGCAAGTGGACATTTGGAGGGCTTAGAGGCCTGTGGTGGAAAAGGAAAATCTTCACATAAAAACTAGATGGAAAGCATTCTCAGAAACTACTTTGTGATGATTGCATTCGACTCACAGAGTTGAACATTCCTATAGATAGAGCAGGTTGTAAACAATCTTTTTGTAGAATCTGCGATTGGAGATTTGGACTGCTTTGAGGCCTACTGTAGTAAAGGAAATAACTTCATCTAAAAACCAAACGGGAGCATTCACAGACAATTCTTAGTGATCATTGGATTGAACTAACAGAGCTGAACATTCCTTTAGATGGAGCAGTTTCCAAACCCACTTTCTGTAGAATCTGCAAGGGGATATTTGGACTTCTCTGAGGATTTCGTTGGAAACGGGATAAACTTTCCAGAACTACACGGAAGTATTCTGAGAAACTTCTTTGTGATGTTTGCATTCAACTCACAGAGTTGAACCTTGCTTTCATAGTTCAGCTTTCAAACACTCTTTTTGTAGAATCTGCAAGTGGATATTTGGACCACTTTGTGGCCTTCCTTCGAAACGGGTATATCTTCACATCAAACCTAGACAGAAGCATTCTCAGAATGTTTCCTGTGATGACTGCATTTAACTCACAGAGGTGAACAATCCTGTTGATGGAGCAGTTTTGAAACTCTCTGTCTTTGGATTCTGCAAGTGGATATGTGGACCTCTGTGAAGATTTCGTTGGAAACGGGTTCATCTTCACAGAAAAACTAAACAGGAGCATTCTCAGAAACTGCTTTGTGATGTTTGTGTTCCTCTTCAGGAATTGAACTTTCCTCTTGACAGAGCAGCTCTGAAACCCTCTTTTTCTAGAATCTGCAAGTGGACATTTGGAGGGCTTTGAGGCCTGTGGTGGAAAAGGAAACTCTTCACATAAAAACTAGATGGAAGCATTCTCAGAAACTACTTTGTGATGATTGCATTCGACTCACAGAGTTGAACATTCCTATAGATAGAGCAGGTTGTAAACAATCTTTTTGTAGAATCTGCGATTGGAGATTTGGACTGCTTTGAGGCCTACTGTAGTAAAGGAAATAACTTCATCTAAAAACCAAACGGAAGCATTCACAGACAATTCTTAGTGATCATTGCATTGAACTAACAGAGCTGAACATTCCTTTAGATGGAGCAGTTTCCAAACACACTTTCTGTGGAATCTGCAAGTGGATATTTGGACTTCTCTGAGGATTTCGTTAGAAACGGGATAAACTTCCCAGAACTACACGGAAGCATGCTGAGAAACTTCTTTGTGATGTTTGCATTCAACTCACAGAGTTGAACCTTGCTTTCATAGTTCAGCTTTCAAACACTCTTTTTGTAGAATCTGCAAGTGGATATTTGGACCACTTTGTGGCCTTCCTTCGAAACGGGTATATCTTCACATCAAACCTAGACAGAAGCATTCTCAGAATGTTTCCTGTGATGACTGCATTCAACTCACAGAGGTGAACAATCCTGTTGATGTAGCACTTTTGAAACTCTCTTTCTTTGGATTCTGCAAGTTGATATGGGGACCTCTGTGAAGATTTCGTTGGAAACGGGTTCATCTTCACAGAAAAACTAAACAGAAGCATTCTCAGAAACTGCTTTGTGATGTTTGTGTTCCACTTCAAGAATTGAACTTTCCTCTTGACAGAGCAGCTCTGAAACCCTCTTTTTCTAGAGTCTGCAAGTGGACATTTGGAGGGATTTGAGGCCTGTGGTGGAAAAGGAAAATCTTCACATAAAAACTAGATGGAAGCATGCTCAGAAACTACTTTGTGATGATTGCATTCGACTCACAGAGTTGAACATTCCTATAGATAGAGCAGGTTGTAAACAATCTTTTTGTAGAATCTGCGATTGGAGATCTGGACTGCTTTGAGGCCTACAGTAGTAAAGGGAATAACTTCATCTAAAAACCAAACGGAAGCATTCACAGACAATTCTTAGTGATCATTGGATTGAACTAACAGAGCTGAACATTCCTTTAGATGGAGCAGTTTCCAAACACACTTTCTGTAGAATCTGCAAGTGGATATTTGGACTTCTCTGAGGATTTCGTTGGAAACGGGATAAACTTCCCAGAACTACAGGGAAGCATTCTGAGAAACTTCTTTGTGATGTTTGCATTCAACTCACAGAGTTGAACCTTGCTTTCATAGTTCAGCTTTCAAACACTCTTTTTGTAGAATCTGCAAGTGGATATTTGGACCACTTTGTGGCCTTCCTTCGAAACGGGTATATCTTCACATCAAACCTAGACAGAAGCATTCTCAGAATGTTTCCTGTGATGACTGCATTCAACTCACAGAGGTGAACAATCCTGTTGATGGAGCAGTTTTGAAACTCTCTTTCTTTGGATTCTGCAAGTGGATATGTGGACCTCTGTGAAGATTTCGTTGGAAACGGGTTCATCTTCACAGGAAAACTATACAGGAGCATTCTCAGAAACTGCTTTGTGATGTTTGTGTTCCACTTCAGGAATTGAACTTTCCTCTTGACAGAGCAGCTCTGAAACCCTCTTTTTCTAGAATCTGCAAGTGGACATTTGGAGGGCTTTGAGGCCTGTGGTGGAAAAGGAAAATCTTCACATAAAAACTAGATGGAAGCATTCTCAGAAACTACTTTGTGATGATTGCATTCGACTCACAGAGTTGAACATTCCTATAGATAGAGCAGGTTGTAAACAATCTTTTTGTAGAATCTGCGATTGGAGATTTGGACTGCTTTGAGGCCTACTGTAGTAAAGGAAATAACTTCATCTAAAAACCAAACGGAAGCATTCACAGACAATTCTTAGTGATCATTGCATTGAACTAACAGAGCTGAACATTCCTTTAGATGGAGCAGTTTCCAAACACACTTTCTGTAGAATCTGCAAGTGGATATTTGGACTTCTCTGAGGATTTCGTTGGAAACGGGATAAACTTCCCAGAACTACACGGAAGCATTCTGAGAAACTTCTTTGTGATGTTTGCATTCAACTCACAGAGTTGAACCTTGCTTTCATAGTTCAGCTTTCAAACACTCTTTTTGTAGAATCTGCAAGTGGATATTTGGACCACTTTGTGGCCTTGCTTCGAAACGGGTATATCTTCACATCAAACCTAGACAGAAGCATTCTCAGAATGTTTCCTGTGATGACTGCATTCAACTCACAGAGGTGAACAATCCTGTTGATGGAGCAGTTTTGAAACTCTCTTTCTTTGGATTCTGCAAGTTGATATGTGGACCTCTGTGAAGATTTCGTTGGAAACGGGTTCATCTTCACAGAAAAACTAAAAAGAAGCATTCTCAGAAACTGCTTTGTGATGTTTGTGTTCCACTTCAGGAATTGTATTTTCCTCTTGACAGAGCAGCTCTGAAACCCTCTTATTCTAGAATCTGCAAGTGGACATTTGGAGGGCTTTGAGGCCTGTGGTGGAAAAGGAAAATCTTCACATAAAAACTAGATGGAAGCATTCTCAGAAACTACTTTGTGATGATTGCATTCGACTCACAGAGTTGAACATTCCTATAGATAGAGTAGGTTGTAAACAATCTTTTTGTAGAATCTGCGATTGGAGATTTGGACTGCTTTGAGGCCTACTGTAGTAAAGGAAATAACTTTATCTAAAAACCAAACGGAAGCATTCACAGACAATTCTTAGTGATCATTGCATTGAACTAACAGAGCTGAACATTCCTTTAGATGGAGCAGTTTCCAAACACACTTTCTGTAGAATCTGAAAGTGGATATTTGGACTTCTCTGAGGATTTCGTTGGAAACGGGATAAACTTCTCAGAACTACACGGAAGCATTGTGAGAAACTTCTTTGTGATGTTTGCATTCAACTCACAGAGTTGAAACTTGCTTTCATAGTTCAGCTTTCAAACACTCTTTTAGTAGAATCTGCAAGTGGATATTTGGACCACTTTGTGGCCTTCCTTCGAAACGTGTATATCTTCACATCAAACCTAGACAGAAGCATTCTCAGAATGTTTCCTGTGATGACTGCATTCAACTCACAGAGGTGAACAATCCTGTTGATGGAGCAGTTTTGAAACTCTCTTTCTTTGGATTCTGCAAGTGGATATGTGGACCTCTGTGAAGATTTCGTTGGAAACGGGTTCATCTTCACAGAAAAACTAAACAGAAGCATTCTCAGAAACTGCTTTGTTATGTTTGTGTTCCACTTCAGGAATTGAACTTTCCTCTTGACAGAGCAGCTCTGAAACCCTCTTATTCTAGAATCTGCAAGTGGACATTTGGAGGGCTTTGAGGCCTGTGGTGGAAAAGGAAAATCTTCACATAAAAACTAGATGGAAGCATTCTCAGAAACTACTTTGTGATGATTGCATTCGACTCACAGAGTTGAACATTCCTATAGATAGAGCAGGTTGTAAACAATCTTTTTGTAGAATCTGCGATTGGAGATTTGGACTGCTTTGAGGCCTACTGTAGTAAAGGAAATAACTTCATCTAAAAACCAAACGGAAGCATTCACAGACAATTCTTAGTGATCATTGGATTGAACTAACAGAGCTGAACATTCCTTTAGATGGAGCAGTTTCCAAACACACTTTCTGTAGAATCTGCAAGTGGATATTTGGACTTCTCTGAGGATTTCGTTGGAAACGGGATAAACTTCCCAGAACTACACGGAAGCATTGTGAGAAACTTCTCTGTGATGTTTGCATTCAACTCACAGAGTTGAACCTTGCTTTCATAGTTCAGCTTTCAAACACTCTTTTTGTGGAATCTGCAAGTGGATATTTGGACCACTTTGTGGCCTTCCTTCGAAACGGGTATATCTTCACATCAAACCTAGACAGAAGCATTCTCAGAATGTTTCCTGTGATGACTGCATTCAACTCACAGAGGTGAACAATCCTGCTGATGGAGCAGTTTTGAAACTTTCTTTGGATTCTGCAAGTGGATATGTGGACCTCTGTGAAGATTTCGTTGGAAACGGGTTCATCTTCACAGAAAAACTAAACAGGAGCATTCTCAGAAACTGCTTTGTGATGTTTGTGTTCCACTTCAAGAATTGAACTTTCCTCTTGACAGAGCAGCTCTGAAACCCTCTTTTTCTAGAATCTGCAAGTGGACATTTGGAGGGCTTTGAGGCCTGTGGTGGAAAAGGAAAATCTTCACATAAAAACTAGATGGAAGCATTCTCAGAAACTACTTTGTGATGATTGCATTCGACTCACAGAGTTGAACATTCCTATAGATAGAGCAGGTTGTAAACAATCTTTTTGTAGAATCTGCGATTGGAGATTTGGACTGCTTTGAGGCCTACTGTAGTAAAGGAAATAACTTCATCTAAAAACCAAACGGAAGCATTCACAGACAATTCTTAGTGATCATTGGTTTGAACTAACAGAGCTGAACATTCCTTTAGATGGAGCAGTTTCCAAACCCACTTTCTGTAGAATCTGCAAGTGGATATTTGGACTTCTCTGAGGATTTCGTTGGAAACTGGATAAACTTCCCAGAACTACACGGAAGCATTGTGAGAAACTTCTTTGTGATGTTTGCATTCAACTCACAGAGTTGAACCTTGCTTTCATAGTTCAGCTTTCAAACACTCCTTTTGTAGAATCTGCAAGTGGATATTTGGACCACTTTGTGGCCTTCCTTGGAAACGGGTATATCTTCACATCAAACCTAGACAGAAGCATTCTCAGAATGTTTCCTGTGTTGACTGCATTCAACTCACAGAGGTGAACAATCCTGCTGATGGAGCAGTTTTGAAACTCTCTTTCTTTGGATTCTGCAAGTGGATATGTGGACCTCTGTGAAGATTTCGTTGGAAACGGGTTCATCTTCACAGAAAAACTAAACAGAAGCATTCTCAGAAACTGCTTTGTGATGTTTGTGTTCCACTTCAGGAATTGAACTTTCCTCTTGACAGAGCAGCTCTAAAACCCTCTTATTCTAGAATCTGCAAGTGGACATTTGGAGGGCTTTGAGGCCTGTGGTGGAAAAGGAAAATCTTCACATAAAAACTAGATGGAAGCATTCTCAGGAACTACTTTGTGATGATTGCATTCGACTCACAGAGTTGAACATTCCTATAGATAGAGCAGGTTGTAAACAATCTTTTTGTAGAATCTGCGATTGCAGATTTGGACTGCTTTGAGGCCTACTGTAGTAAAGGAAATAACTTCATGTAAAAACCAAACGGAAGCATTCACAGACAATTCTTAGTGATCATTGCATTGAACTAACAGAGCTGAACATTCCTTTAGATGGAGCAGTTTCCAAACACACTTTCTGTAGAATCTGCAAGTGGATATTTGGACCTCTCTGAGGATTTCGTTGGAAACGGGATAAACTTCCCAGAACTACACGGAAGTATTCTGAGAAACTTCTTTGTGATGTTTGCATTCAACTCACAGAGTTGAACCTTGCTTTCATAGTTCAGCTTTCAAACACTCTTTTTGTAGAATCTGCAAGTGGATATTTGGACCACTTTGTGGCCTTCCTTCGAAACGGGTATATCTTCACATCAAACCTAGACAGAAGCATTCTCAGAATGTTTCCTGTGATGACTGCATTCAACTCACAGAGGTTAACAATCCTGCTGAATAGCAGTTTTGAAACTCTCTTTCTTTGGATTCTGCAAGTGGATATGTGGACCTCTGTGAAGATTTCGTTGGAAACGGGTTCATCTTCACAGAAAAACTAAACAGGAGCATTCTCAGAAACTGCTTTGTGATGTTTGTGTTCCACTTCAAGAATTGAACTTTCCTCTTGACAGAGCAGCTCTGAAACCCTCTTTTTCTAGAATCTGCAAGTGGACATTTGGAGGGCTTTGAGGCCTGTGGTGGAAAAGGAAAATCTTCCCATAAAAACTAGATGGAAGCATTCTCAGAAACTACTTTGTGATGATTGCATTCGACTCACAGAGTTGAACATTCCTATAGATAGAGCAGGTTGTAAACAATCTTTTTGTAGAATCTGCGATTGGAGATTTGGACTGCTTTGAGGCCTACTGTAGTAAATTAAATAACTTCATCTAAAAACCAAACGGAAGCATTCACAGACAATTCTTAGTGATCATTGCATTGAACTAACAGAGCTGAACATTCCTTTAGATGGCGCAGTTTCCAAACACACTTTCTGTAGAATCTGCAAGTGGATATTTGGACCTCTCTGAGGATTTCGTTGGAAACGGGATAAACTTCCCAGAACTACACGGAAGCATGCTGAGAAACTTCTTTGTGATGTTTGCATTCAACTCACAGAGTTGAACCTTGCTTTCATAGTTCAGCTTTCAAACACTCTTTTTGTAGAATCTGCAAGTGGATATTTGGACCACTTTGTGGCCTTCCTTCGAAACGGGTATATCTTCACATCAAACCTAGACAGAAGCATTCTCAGAATGTTTCCTGTGATGACTGCATTCAACTCACAGAGGTGAACAATCCTTCTGATGGAGCAGTTTTGAAACTCTCTTTCTTTGGATTCTGCAAGTGGATATGTGGACCTCTGTGAAGATTTCGTTGGAAACGGGTTCATCTTCACAGAAAAACTAAACAGGAGTATTCTCAGAAACTGCTTTGTGATGTTTGTGTTCCACTTCAGGAATTGAACTTTCCTCTTGACAGAGCAGCTCTGAAACCCTCTTATTCTAGAATCTGCAAGTGGACATTTGGAGGGCTTTGAGGCCTGTGGTGGAAAAGGAAAATCTTCACATAAAAACTAGATGGAAGCATTCTCAGAAACTACTTTGTGATGATTGCATTCGACTCACATAGTTGAACATTCCTATAGATAGAGCAGGTTGTAAACAATCTTTTTGTAGAATCTGCGATTGGAGATTTGGACTGCTTTGAGGCCTACTGTAGTAAAGGAAATAACTTCATCTAAAAACCAAACGGAAGCATTCACAGAAAATTCTTAGTGATCATTGGATTGAACTAACAGAGCTGAACATTCCTTTAGATGGAGCAGTTTCCAAACCCACTTTCTGTAGAATCTGCAAGTGGATATTTGGACTTCTCTGAGGATTTCGTTGGAAACGGGATATGCTTCCCAGAACTACACGGAAGCATTGTGAGAAACTTCTTTGTGATGTTTGCATTCAACTCACAGAGTTGAACCTTGCTTTCATAGTTCAGCTTTCAAACACTCTTTTTGTAGAATCTGCAAGTGGATATTTGGACCACTTTGTGGCCTTCCTTCGAAACGGGTATATCTTCACATCAAACATTGACAGAAGCATTCTCAGAATGTTTCCTGTGATGACTGCATTCAACTCACAGAGGTGAACAATCCTGTTGATGGAGCAGTTTTGAAACTCTCTTTCTTTGGATTCTGCAAGTGGATATGTGGACCTCTGTGAAGATTTCGTTGGAAACGGGTTCATCTTCACAGAAAAACTCAACAGAAGCATTCTCAGAAACTGCTTTGTGATGTTTGTGTTCCACTTCAGGAATTGAACTTTCCTCTTGACAGAGCAGCTCTGAAACCCTCCTTTTCTAGAATCTGCACGTGGACATTTGGAGGGCTTTGAGGCCTGTGGTGGAAAAGGAAAATCTTCACATAAAAACTAGATGGAGAGCATTCTCAGAAACTACTTTGTGATGATTGCATTCGACTCACAGAGTTGAACATTCCTATAGATAGAGCAGGTTGTAAACAATCTTTTTGTAGAATCTGCGATTGGAGATTTGGACTGCTTTGAGGCCTACTGCAGTAAAGGAAATATCTTCATCTAAAAACCAAACGGAAGCATTCACAGACAATTCTTAGTGATCATTGGATTGAACTAACAGAGCTGAACATTCCTTTAGATGGCGCAGTTTCCAAACACACTTTCTGTAGAATCTGCAAGTGGATATTTGGACCTCTCTGAGGATTTCGTTGGAAACGGGATAAACTTCCCAGAACTACACGGAAGCATTGTGAGAAAATTCTTTGTGATGTTTGCATTCAACTCACAGAGTTGAACCTTGCTTTCATAGTTCAGCTTTCAAACACTCTTTTTGTAGAATCTGCAAGTGGATATTTGGACCACTTTGTGGCCTTCCTTCGAAACGGGTATATCTTCACATCAAACCTAGACAGAAGCATTCTCAGAATGTTTCCTGTGATGACTGCATTCAACTCACAGAGGTGAACAATCCTGTTGATGAAGCACTTTTGAAACTCTCTTTCTTTGGATTCTGCAAGTTGATATGTGGACCTCTGTGAAGATTTCGTTGGAAACGGGTTCATCTTCACAGAAAAACTAAACAGAAGCATTCTCAGAAACTGCTTTGTGATGTTTGTGTTCCACTTCAAGAATTGAACTTTCCTCTTGACAGAGCAGCTCTGAAACCCTCTTTTTCTAGAATCTGCAAGTGGACATTTGGAGGGCTTTGAGGCCTGTGGTGGAAAAGGAAAATCTTCACATAAAAACTAGATGGAAGCATTCTCAGAAACTACTTTGTGATGATTGCATTCGACTCACAGAGTTGAACATTCCTATAGATAGAGCAGGTTGTAAACAATCTTTTTGTAGAATCTGCGATTGGAGATTTGGACTGCTTTGAGGCCTACTGTAGTAAAGGAAATAACTTCATCTAAAAACCAAACGGAAGCATTCACAGACAATTCTTAGTGATCATTGCATTGAACTAACAGAGCTGAACATTCCTTTAGATGGCGCAGTTTCCAAACACACTTTCTGTAGAATCTGCAAGTGGATATTTGGACCTCTCTGTGGATTTCGTTGGAAACGGGATAAACTTCCCAGAACTACACGGAAGCATTCTGAGAAACTTCTTTGTGATGTTTCCATTCAACTCATAGAGTTGAACCTTGCTTTCATAGTTCAGCTTTCAAACACTCTTTTTGTAGAATCTGCAAGTGGATATTTGGACCACTTTGTGGCCTTCCTTCGAAACGGGTATATCTTCACATCAAACCTAGACAGAAGCATTCTCAGAATGTTTCCTGTGATGACTGCATTCAACTCACAGAGGTGAACAATCCTGCTGATGGAGCAGTTTTGAAACTCTCTTTCTTTGGATTCTGCAAGTGGATATGTGGACCTCTGTGAAGATTTCGTTGGAAACGGGTTCATCTTCACAGAAAAACTAAACAGAAGCATTCTCAGAAACTGCTTTGTGATGTTTGTGTTCCACTTCAAGAATTGAACTTTCCTCTTGACAGAGCAGCTCTGAAACCCTCTTATTCTAGAATCTGCAAGTGGACATTTGGAGGGCTTTGAGGCCTGTGGTGGAAAAGGAAAATCTTCACATAAAAACTAGATGGAAGCATTCTCAGAAACTACTTTGTGATGATTGCATTCGACTCACAGAGTTGAACATTCCTATAGATAGAGCAGGTTGTAAACAATCTTTTTGTAGAATCTGCGATTGGAGATTTGGACTGCTTTGAGGCCTACTGTAGTAAAGGAAATAACTTCATCTAAAAACCAAACGGAAGCATTCACAGACAATTCTTAGTGATCATTGCATTGAACTAACAGAGCTGAACATTCCTTTAGATGGCGCAGTTTCCAAACACACTTTCTGTAGAATCTGCAAGTGGATATTTGGACCTCTCTGAGGATTTCGTTGGAAACGGGATAAACTTCCCAGAACTACACGGAAGCATTGTGAGAAACTTCTTTGTGATGTTTGCATTCAACTCACAGAGTTGAACCTTGCTTTCATAGTTCAGCTTTCAAACACTCTTTTGGTAGAATCTGCAAGTGGATATTTGGACCACTTTGTGGCCTTCCTTCGAAACGGGTATATCTTCACATCAAACCTAGACAGAAGCATTCTCAGAATGTTTCCTGTGATGACTGCATTCAACTCACAGAGGTGAACAATCCTGCTGATGGAGCAGTTTGAAACTCTCTTTCTTTGGATTCTGCAAGTGGATATGTGGACCTCTGTGAAGATTTCGTTGGAAACGGGTTCATCTTCATAGAAAAACTAAACAGGAGTATTCTCAGAAACTGCTTTGTGATGTTTGTGTTCCACTTAAAGAACTGAACTTTCCTCTTGACAGAGCAGCTCTGAAACCCTCTTTTTCTAGAATCTGCAAGTGGACATTTGGAGGGTTTTGAGGCCTGTGGTGGAAAAGGAAAATCTTCACATAAAAACTTTATGGAAGCATTCTCAGAAACTTCTTTGTGATGATTGCATTCGACTCACAGAGTTGAACATTCCTATAGATAGAGCAGGTTGTAAACAATCTTTTTGTAGAATCTGCGATTGGAGATTTGGACTGCTTTGAGGCCTACTGTAGTAAAGGAAATTACTTCATCTAAAAACCAAACGGAAGCATTCACAGACAATTCTTAGTGATCATTGGATTGAACTAACAGAGCTGAACATTCCTTTAGATGGAGCAGTTTCCAAACCCACTTTCTGTAGAATCTGCAAGTGGATATTTGGACTTCTCTGAGGATTTCGTTGGAAACGGGATAAACTTCCCAGAACTACACGGGAAGCATTGTGAGAAACTTCTTTGTGATGTTTGCATTCAACTCACAGAGTTGAACCTTGCTTTCATAGTTCAGCTTTCAAACACTCTTTTTGTAGAATCTGCAAGTGGATATTTGGACCACTTTGTGGCCTTCCTTTGAAAAGGGTATATCTTCACATCAAACCTAGACAGAAGCATTCTCAGAATGTTTCCTGTGATGACTGCATTCAACTCACAGAGGTGAACAATCCTGCTGATGGAGCAGTTTTGAAACTCTCTTTCTTTGGATTCTGCAAGTGGATATGTGGACCTCTGTGAAGATTTCGTTGGAAACGGGTTCATCTTCACAGAAAAACTAAACAGAAGCATTCTCAGAAACTGCTTAGTGATGTTTGTGTTCCACTTCAGGAATTGAACTTTCCTCTTGACAGAGCAGCTCTGAAACCCTCTTTTTCTAGAATCTGCAAGTGGACATTTGGAGGGCTTTGAGGCCTGTGGTGGAAAAGGAAAATCTTCACATAAAAACTAGATGGAAGCATTCTCAGAAACTACTTTGTGATGATTGCATTCGACTCACAGAGTTGAACATTCCTATAGATAGAGCAGGTTGTAAACAATCTTTTTGTAGAATCTGCGATTGGAGATTTGGACTGCTTTGAGGCCTACTGTAGTAAAGGAAATAACTTCATCTAAAAACCAAACGGAAGCATTCACAGACAATACTTAGTGATCATTGGATTGAACTAACAGAGCTGAACATTCCTTTAGATGGAGCAGTTTCCAAACACACTTTCTGTAGAATCTGCAAGTGGATACTTGGACTTCTCTGAGGATTTCGTTGGAAACGGGATAAACTTCCCAGAACTACACGGAAGCATTCTGAGAAACTTCTTTGTGATGTTTGCATTCAACTCACAGAGTTGAACCTTGCTTTCATAGTTCAGCTTTCAAACACTCTTTTTGTAGAATCTGCAAGTGGATATTTGGACCACTTTGTGGCCTTCCTTCGAAACGGGTATATCTTCACATCAAACCTAGACAGAAGCATTCTCAGAATGTTTCCTGTGATGACTGCATTCAACTCACAGAGGTGAACAATCCTGTTGATGGGGCACTTTTGAAACTCTCTTTCTTTGGATTCTGCAAGTTGATATGTGGACCTCTGAGAAGATTTCGTTGGAAACGGGTTCATCTTCACAGAAAAACTAAACAGAAGCATTCTCAGAAACTACTTTGTGATGTTTGTGTTCCACTTCAAGAATTGAACTTTCCTCTTGACAGAGCAGCTCTGAAACCCTCTTTTTCTAGAATCTGCAAGTGGACATTTGGAGGGCTTTGAGGCCTGTGGTGGAAAAGGAAAATCTTCACATAAAAACTAGATGGAAGCATTCTCAGAAACTACTTTGTGATGATTGCATTCGACTCACAGAGTTGAACATTCCTATAGATAGAGCAGGTTGTAAACAATCTTTTTGTAGAATCTGCGATTGGAGATTTGGACTGCTTTGAGGCCTACTGTAGTAAAGGAAATAACTTCATCTAAAAACCAAACGGAAGCATTCACAGACAATTCTTAGTGATCATTGGATTGAACTAACAGAGCTGAACATTCCTTTAGATGGAGCAGTTTCCAAACCCACTTTCTGTAGAATCTGCAAGTGGATATTTGGACTTCTCTGAGGATTTCGTTGGAAACGGGATAAACTTCCCAGAACTACAGGGAAGCATTCTGAGAAACTTCTTTGTGATGTTTGCATTCAACTCACAGAGTTGAACCTTGCTTTCATAGTTCAGCTTTCAAACACTCTTTTTGTAGAATCTGCAAGTGGATATTTGGACCACTTTCTGGCCTTCCTTCGAAACGGGTATATCTTCACATCAAACCTAGACAGAAGCATTCTCAGAATGTTTCCTGTGATGACTGCATTCAACTCACAGAGGTGAACAATCCTGTTGATGGAGCAGTTTTGAAACTCTCTTTCTTTGGATTCTGCAAGTGGATATGTGGACCTCTGTGAAGATTTCGTTGGAAACGGGTTCATCTTCACAGAAAAACTAAACAGAAGCATTCTCAGAAACTGCTTTGTGATGTTTGTGTTCCACTTCAGGAATTGAACTTTCCTCTTGACAGAGCAGCTCTAAAACCCTCTTATTCTAGAATCTGCAAGTGGACATTTGGAGGGCTTTGAGGCCTGTGGTGGAAAAGGAAAATCTTCACATAAAAACTAGATGGAAGCATTCTCAGAAACTACTTTGTGATGATTGCATTCGACTCACAGAGTTGAACATTCCTATACATAGAGCAGGTTGTAAACAATCTTTTTGTAGAATCTGCGATTGGAGATTTGGACTGCTTTGAGGCCTACTGTAGTAAAGGAAATAACTTCATCTAAAAACCAAACGGAAGCATTCACAGACAATTCTTAGTGATCATTGGATTGAACTAACAGAGCTGAACATTCCTTTAGATGGCGCAGTTTCCAAACACACTTTCTGTAGAATCTGCAAGTGGATATTTGGACTTCTCTGAGGATTTCGTTGGAAACGGGATAAACTTCCCAGAACTACACGGAAGCATTGTGAGAAACTTCTTTGTGATGTTTGCATTCAACTCACAGAGTTGAACCTTGCTTTCATAGTTCAGCTTTCAAACACTCTTTTTGTAGAATCTGCAAGTGGATATTTGGACCACTTTGTGGCCTTCCTTCGAAACGGGTATATCTTCACATCAAACCTAGACAGAAGCATTCTCAGAATGTTTCCTGTGATGACTGCATTCAACTCACAGAGGTGAACAATCCTGCTGTTGGAGCAGTTTTGAAACTCTCTTTCTTTGGATTCTGCAAGTGGATATGTGGACCTCTGTGAAGATTTCGTTGGAAACGGGTTCATCTTCACAGAAAAACTAAACAGGAGCATTCTCAGAAACTGCTTTGTGATGTTTGTGTTCCACTTCAAGAATTGAACTTTCCTCTTGACAGAGCAGCTCTGAAACCCTCTTTTTCTAGAATCTGCAAGTGGACATTTGGAGGGCTTTGAGGCCTGTGGTGGAAAAGGAAAATCTTCACATAAAAACTAGATGGAAGCATTCTCAGAAACTACTTTGTGATGATTGCATTCGACTCACAGAGTTGAACATTCCTATAGATAGAGCAGGTTGTAAACAATCTTTTTGTAGAATCTGCGATTGGAGATTTGGACTGCTTTGAGGCCTACTGTAGTAAAGGAAATAACTTCATCTAAAAACCAAACGGAAGCATTCACAGACAATTCTTAGTGATCATTGGATTGAACTAACAGAGCTGAACATTCCTTTAGATGGAGCATTTTCCAAACACACTTTCTGTAGAATCTGCAAGTGGATATTTGGACTTCTCTGAGGATTTCGTTGGAAACGGGATAAACTTCCCAGAACTACACGGAAGCATTCTGAGAAACTTCTTTGTGATGTTTGCATTCAACTCACAGAGTTGAACCTTGCTTTCATAGTTCAGCTTTCAAACACTCTTTTTGTAGAATCTGCAAGTGGATATTTGGACCACTTTGTGGCCTTCCTTCGAAACGGGTATATCTTCACATCAAACCTAGACAGAAGCATTCTCAGAATGTTTCCTGTGATGACTGCATTCAACTCACAGAGGTGAACAATCCTGCTGATGGAGCAGTTTTGAAACTCTCTTTCTTTGGATTCTGCAAGTGGATATGTGGACCTCTGTGAAGATTTCGTTGGAAACGGGTTCATCTTCACAGGAAAACTAAACAGAAGCATTCTCAGAAACTGCTTTGTGACGATTGTGTTCCACTTCAGGAATTGAACTTTCCTCTTGACAGAGCAGCTCTGAAACCCTCTTATTCTAGAATCTGCAAGTGGACATTTGGAGGGCTTTGAGGCCTGTGGTGGAAAAGGAAAATCTTCACATAAAAACTAGATGGAAGCATTCTCAGAAACTACTTTGTGATGATTGCATTCGACTCACAGAGTTGAACATTCCTATAGATAGAGCAGGTTGTAAACAATCTTTTTGTAGAATCTGCGATTGGAGATTTGGACTGCTTTGAGGCCTACTGTAGTAAAGGAAATAACTTCATCTAAAAACCAAACGGAAGCATTCACAGACAATTCTTAGTGATCATTGCATTGAACTAACAGAGCTGAACATTCCTTTAGATGGCGCAGTTTCCAAACACACTTTCTGTAGAATCTGCAAGTGGATATGTGGACCTCTCTGAGGATATCGTTGGAAACGGGATAAACTTCCCAGAACTACACGGAAGCATTCTGAGAAACTTCTTTGTGATGTTTGCATTCAACTCACAGAGTTGAACCTTGCTTTCATAGTTCAGCTTTCAAACACTCTTTTTGTAGAATCTGCAAGTGGATATTTGGACCACTTTGTGGCCTTCCTTCGAAACGGGTATATCTTCACATCAAACCTAGACAGAAGCATTCTCAGAATGTTTCCTGTGATGACTGCATTCAACTCACAGAGGTGAACAATCCTGCTGATGGAGCAGTTTTGAAACTCTCTTTCTTTGGATTCTGCAAGTGGATATGTGGACCTCTGTGAAGATTTCGTTGGAAACGGGTTCATCTTCACAGAAAAACTAAACAGAAGCATTCTCAGAAACTGCTTTGTGATGTTTGTGTTCCACTTCAAGAATTGAACTTTCCTCTTGACAGAGCAGCTCTGAAACCCTCTTTTTCTAGAGTCTGCAAGTGGACATTTGGAGAGCTTTGAGGCCTTTGGTGGAAAAGGAAAATCTTCACTTAAAAACTAGATGGAAGCATTCTCAGAAACTACTTTGTGATGATTGCATTCGACTCACAGAGTTGAACATTCCTATAGATAGAGCAGGTTGTAAACAATCTTTTTGTAGAATCTGCGATTGGAGATTTGGACTGCTTTGAGGCCTACTGTAGTAAAGGAAATAACTTCATCTAAAAACCAAACGGAATCATTCACAGACAATTCTTAGTGATCATTGCATTGAACTAACAGAGCTGAACATTCCTTTAGATGGCGCAGTTTCCAAACACACTTTCTGTAGAATCTGCAAGTGGATATTTGGACCTCTCTGGGGATTTCGTTGGAAACGGGATAAACTTCCCAGAACTACACGGAAGCATTCTGAGAAACTTCTTTGTGATGTTTGCATTCAACTCACAGAGTTGAACCTTGCTTTCATAGTTCAGCTTTCAAACACTCTTTTTGTAGAATCTGCAAGTGGATATTTGGACCACTTTGTGGCCTTCCTTCGAAACGGGTATATCTTCACATCAAACCTAGACAGAAGCATTCTCAGAATGTTTCCTGTGATGACTGCATTCAACTCACAGAGGTGAACAATCCTGCTGATGGAGCAGTTTTGAAACTCTCCTTCTTTGGATTCTGCAAGTGGATATGTGGACCTCTGTGAAGATTTCGTTGGAAACGGGTTCATCTTCACAGAAAAACTAAACAGAAGCATTCTCAGAAACTGCTTTGTGATGTTTGTGTTCCACTTCAGGAATTGAACTTTCCTCTTGACAGAGCAGCTCTGAAACCCTCTTATTCTAGAATCTGCAAGTGGACATTTGGAGGGCTTTGAGGCCTGTGGTGGAAAAGGAAAATCTTCACATAATAACTAGATGGAAGCATTCTCAGAAACTACTTTGTGATGATTGCATTCGACTCACAGAGTTGAAAATTCCTATAGATAGAGCAGGTTGTAAACAATCTTTTTGTAGAATCTGCGATTGGAGATTTGGACTGCTTTGAGGCCTACGGTAGTAAAGGAAATAACTTCATCTAAAAACCAAACGGAAGCATTCACAGACAATTCTTAGTGATCATTGCATTGAACTAACAGAGCTGAACATTCCTTTAGATGGCGCAGTTTCCAAACACACTTTCTGTAGAATCTGCAAGTGGATATTTGGACCTCTCTGAGGATTTCGTTGGAAACGGGATAAAATTCCCAGAACTACACGGAAGTATTGTGAGAAACTTCTTTGTGATGTTTGCATTCAACTCACAGAGTTGAACCTTGCTTTCATAGGTCAGCTTTCAAACACTCTTTTTGTAGAATCTGCAAGTGGATATTTGGACCACTTTGTGGCCTTCCTTCGAAACGGGTATATCTTCACATCAAACCTAGACAGAAGCATTCTCAGAATGTTTCCTGTGATGACTGCATTCAACTCACAGAGGTGAACAATCCTGTTGATGGAGCAGTTTTGAAACTCTCTTTCTTTGGATTCTGCAAGTTGATATGTGGACCTCTGTGAAGATTTCGTTGGAAACGGGTTCATCTTCACAGAAAAACTAAACAGAAGCATTCTCAGAAACTGCTTTGTGATGTTTGTGTTCCACTTCAGGAATTGAACTTTCCTCTTGACAGAGCAGCTCTGCAACCCTCTTATTCTAGAATCTGCAAGTGGATATTTGGAGGGCTTTGAGGCCTGTGGTGGAAAAGGAAAATCTTCACATAAAAACTAGATGGAAGCATTCTCAGAAACTACTTTGTGATGATTGCATTCGACTCACAGAGTTGAACATTCCTATAGATAGAGCAGGTTGTAAACAATCTTTTTGTAGAATCTGCGATTGGAGATTTGGACTGCTTTGAGGCCTACTGTAGTAAAGGAAATAACTTCATCTAAAAACCAAACGGAAGCATTCACAGACAATTCTTAGTGATCATTGGATTGAACTAACAGAGCTGAACATTCCTTTAGATGGCGCAGTTTCCAAACACACTTTCTGTAGAATCTGCCACTGGATATTTGGACCTCTCTGAGGATTTCGTTGGAAATGGGATAAACTTCCCACAACTACACGGAAGCATTCTGAGAAACTTCTTTGTGATGTTTGCATTCAACTCACAGAGTTGAACCTTGCTTTCATAGTTCAGCTTTCAAACACTCTTTTTGTAGAATCTGCAAGTGGATATTTGGACCACTTTGTGGCCTTCCTTCGAAACGGGTATATCTTCACATCAAACCTAGACAGAAGCATTCTCAGAATGTTTCCTGTGATGACTGCATTCAACTCACAGAGGTGAACAATCCTGCTGATGGAGCAGTTTTGAAACTCTCTTTCTTTGGATTCTGCAAGTGGATATGTGGACCTCTGTGAAGATTTCGTTGGAAACGGGTTCATCTTCACAGAAAAACTAAACAGGAGCATTCTCAGAAACTGCTTTGTGATGTTTGTGTTCCACTTCAGGAATTGAACTTTCCTCTTGACAGAGCAGCTCTGAAACCCTCTTATTCTAGAATCTGCAAGTGGACATTTGGAGGGCTTTGAGGCCTGTGGTGGAAAAGGAAAATCTTCACATAAAAACTAGATGGAAGCATTCTCAGAAACTACTTTGTGATGATTGCATTCGACTCACAGAGTTGAACATTCCTATAGATAGAGCAGGTTGTAAACAATCTTTTTGTAGAATCTGCGATTGGAGATTTGGACTGCTTTGAGGCCTACTGTAGTAAAGGAAATAACTTCATCTAAAAACCAAACGGAAGCATTCACAGACAATTCTTAGTGATCATTGGATTGAACTAACAGAGCTGAACATTCCTTTAGATGGCGCAGTTTCCAAACACACTTTCTGTAGAATCTGCAAGTGGATATTTGGACCTCTCTGAGGATTTCGTTGGAAAGGGGATAAACTTCCCAGAACTACACGGAAGCATTCTGAGAAACTTCTTTGTGATGTTTGCATTCAACTCACAGAGTTGAACCTTGCTTTCATAGTTCAGCTTTCAAACACTCTTTTTGTAGAATCTGCAAGTGGATATTTGGACCACTTTGTGGCCTTCCTTCGAAACGGGTATATCTTCACATCAAACCTAGACAGAAGCATTCTCAGAATGTTTCCTGTGATGACTGCATTCAACTCACAGAGGTGAACAATCCTGTTGATGGAGCAGTTTTGAAACTCTCTTTCTTTGGATTCTGTAAGTTGATATGTGGACCTCTGTGAAGATTTCGTTGGAAACGGGTTCATCTTCACAGAAAAACTAAACAGAAGCATTCTCAGAAACTGCTTTGTGATGTTTGTGTTCCACTTCAAGAATTGAACTTTCCTCTTGACAGAGCAGCTCTGAAACCCTCTTTTTCTAGAATCTGCAAGTGGACATTTGGAGGGCTTTGAGGCCTGTGGTGGAAAAGGAAAATCTTCACATAAAAACTAGATGGAAGCATTCTCAGAAACTACTTTGTGATGATTGCATTCGACTCACAGAGTTGAACATTCCTATAGATAGAGCAGGTTGTAAACAATCTTTTTGTAGAATCTGCGATTGGAGATTTGGACTGCTTTGAGGCCTACTGTAGTAAAGGAAATAACTTCATCTAAAAACCAAACGGAAGCATTCACAGACAATTCTTAGTGATCATTGGATTGAACTAACAGAGCTGAACATTCCTTTAGATGGAGCAGATTCCAAACACACTTTCTGTAGAATCTGCAAGTGGATATTTGGACCTCTCTGAGGATTTCGTTGGAAACGGGATAAACTTCCCAGAACTACACGGAAAGCATTCTGAGAAACTTCTTTGTGATGTTTGCATTCAACTCACAGAGTTGAACCTTGCTTTCATAGTTCAGCTTTCAAACACTCTTTTTGTAGGATCTGCAAGTGGATATTTGGACCACTTTGTGGCCTTCCTTCGAAACGGGTATATCTTCACATCAAACCTAGACAGAAGCATTCTCAGAATGTTTCCTGTGATGACTGCATTCAACTCACAGAGGTGAACAATCCTGCTGATGGAGCAGTTTTGAAACTCTCTTTCTTTGGATTCTGCAAGTGGATATGTGGACCTCTGTGAAGATTTCGTTGGAAACGGGTTCATCTTCACAGAAAAACTAAACAGAAACATTCTCAGAAACTGCTTTGTGATGTTTGTGTTCCACTTCAAGAATTGAACTTTCCTCTTGACAGAGCAGCTCTGAAACCCTCTTTTTCTAGAATCTGCAAGTGGACATTTGGAGGGCTTTGAGGCCTGTGGTGGAAAAGGAAAATCTTCACATAAAAACTAGATGGAAAGCATTCTCAGAAACTACTTTGTGATGATTGCATTCGACTCACAGAGTTGAACATTCCTATAGATAGAGCAGGTTGTAAACATACTTTTTGTAGAATCTGCGATTGCAGATTTGGACTGCTTTGAGGCCTACTGTAGTAAAGGCAATAACTTCATCTAAAAACCAAACGGAAGCATTCACAGACAATTCTTAGTGATCATTGGATTGAACTAACAGCAGCTGAACATTCCTTTAGATGGCGCAGTTTCCAAACACACTTTCTGTAGAATCTGCAAGTGGATATTTGGACCTCTCTGAGGATTTCGTTGGAAACGGGATAAACTTCCCAGAACTACACGGAAGCATTCTGAGAAACTTCTTTGTGATGTTTGCATTCAACTCACAGAGTTGAACCTTGCTTTCATAGTTCAGCTTTCAAACACTCTTTTTGTAGAATCTGCAAGTGGATATTTGGACCACTTTGTGGCCTTCCTTCGAAACGGGTATATCTTCACATCAAACCTAGACAGAAGCATTCTCAGAATGTTTCCTGTGATGACTGCATTCAACTCACAGAGGTGAACAATCCTGCTGATGGAGCAGTTTTGAAACTCTCTTTCTTTGGATTCTGCAAGTGGATATGTGGACCTCTGTGAAGATTTCGTTGGAAACGGGTTCATCTTCACAGAAAAACTAAACAGAAGCATTCTCAGAAATTGCTTTGTGATGTTTGTGTTCCACTTCAAGAATTGAACTTTCCTCTTGACAGAGCAGCTCTGAAACCCTCTTTTTCTAGAATCTGCAAGTGGACATTTGGAGGGCTTTGAGGCCTGTGGTGGAAAAGGAAAATCTTCACATAAAAACTAGATGGAAGCATTCTCAGAAACTACTTTGTGATGATTGCATTCGACTCACAGAGTTGAACATTCCTATAGATAGAGCAGGTTGTAAACAATCTTTTGTAGAATCTGCGATTGGAGATTTGGACTGCTTTGAGGCCTACTGTAGTAAAGGAAATAACTTCATCTAAAAACCAAACGGAGGTATTCAAAGACAATTCTTAGTGATCATTGGATTGAACTAACAGAGCTGAACATTAGTTTAGATGGCGCAGTTTCCAAACACAATTTCTGTAGAATCTGCAAGTGGATATTTGGACTTCTCTGAGGATTTCGTTGGAAACGGGATAAACTTCCCAGAACTACACGGAAGCATTCTGAGAAACTTCTTTGTGATGTTTGCATTCAACTCACAGAGTTGAAACTTGCTTTCATAGTTCAGCTTTCAAACACTCTTTTTGTAGAATCTGCAAGTGGATATTTGGACCACTTTGTGGCCTTCCTTCGAAACGGGTATATCTTCACATCAAACCTAGACAGAAGCATTCTCAGAATGTTTCCTGTGATGACTGCATTCAACTCACAGAGGTGAACAATCCTGCTGATGGAGCAGTTTTGAAACTCTCTTTCTTTGGATTCTGCAAGTGGATATGTGGACCTCTGTGAAGATTTCGTTGGAAACGGGTTCATCTTCACAGAAAAACTAAACAGGAGCATTCTCAGAAACTGCTTTGTGATGTTTGTGTTCCAGTTCAAGAATTGAACTTTCGTCTTGACAGAGCAGCTCTGATACCCTCTTTTTCTAGAATCTGCAAGTGGACATTTGGAGGGCTTTGAGGCCTGTGGTGGAAAAGGAAAATCTTCACATAAAAACTAGATGGAAGCATTCTCAGAAACTACTTTGTGATGATTGCATTCGACTCACAGAGTTGAACATTCCTATAGATAGAGCAGGTTGTAAACAATCTTTTTGTAGAATCTGCGATTGGAGATTTGGACTGCTTTGAGGCCTACTGTAGTAAAGGAAATAACTTCATCTAAAAACCAAACGGAAGCATTCACAGACAATTCTTAGTGATCATTGCATTGAACTGACAGAGCTGAACATTCCTTTAGATGGAGCAGTTTCCAAACACACTTTCTGTAGAATCTGCAAGTGGATATTTGGACTTCTCTGAGGATTTCGTTGGAAACGGGATAAACTTCCCAGAACTACACGGAAGCATTGTGAGAAACTTCTTTGTGATATTTGCATTCAACTCACAGAGTTGAACCTTGCTTTCATAGTTCAGCTTTCAAACACTCTTTTTGTAGAATCTGCAAGTGGATATTTGGACCACTTTGTGGCCTTCCTTCGAAACGGGTATATCTTCACATCAAACCTAGACAGAAGCATTCTCAGAATGTTTCCTGTGATGACTGCATTCAACTCACAGAGGTGAACAATCCTGTTGATGGAGCAGTTTTGAAACTCTCTTTCTTTGGATTCTGCAAGTGGATATGTGGACCTCTTTGAAGATTTCGTTGGAAACGGGTTCATCTTCACAGAAAAACTAAACAGAAGCATTCTCAGAAACTGCTTTGTGATGTTTGTGTTCCACTTCAAGAATTGAACTTTCCTCTTGACAGAGCAGCTCTGAAACCCTCTTTTTCTAGAATCTGCAAGTGGACATTTGGAGGGCTTTGAGGCCTGTGGTGGAAAAGGAAAATCTTCACATAAAACTAGATGGAAGCATTCTCAGAAACTACTTTGTGATGATTGCATTCGACTCACAGAGTTGAACATTCCTATAGATAGAGCAGGATGTAAACAAACTTTTTGTAGAATCTGCGATTGGAGATTTGGACTGCTTTGAGGCCTACTGTAGTAAAGGAAATAACTTCATCTAAAAACCAAACGGAAGCATTCACAGACAATTCTTAGTGATCATTGGATTGAACTAACAGAGCTGAACATTCCTTTAGATGGAGCAGTTTACAAACACACTTTATGTAGAATCTGCAAGTGGATATTTGGACCTCTCTGAGGATTTCGTTGGAAACGGGATAAACTTCCCAGAACTACACGGAAGCATTGTGAGAAACTTCTTTGTGATGTTTGCATTCAACTCACAGAGTTGAACCTTGCTTTCATAGTTCAGCTTTCAAACACTCTTTTTGTAGAATCTGCAAGTGGATATTTGGACCACTTTGTGGCCTTCCTTCGAAACGGGTATATCTTCACATCAAACCTAGACAGAAGCATTCTCAGAATGTTTCCTGTGATGACTGCATTCAACTCACAGAGGTGAACAATCCTGCTGATGGAGCAGTTTTGAAACTCTCTTTCTTTGGATTCTGCAAGTGGATATGTGGACCTCTGTGAAGATTTCGTTGGAAACGGGTTCATCTTCACAGAAAAACTAAACAGGAGCATTCTCAGAAACTGCTTTGTGATGTTTGTGTTCCACTTCAAGAATTGAACTTTCCTCTTGACAGAGCAGCTCTGAAACCCTCTTTTTCTAGAATCTGCAAGTGGACATTTGGAGGGCTTTGAGGCCTGTGGTGGAAAAGGAAAATCTTCCCATAAAAACTAGATGGAAGCATTCTCAGAAACTACTTTGTGATGATTGCATTCGACTCACAGAGTTGAACATTCCTATAGATAGAGCAGGTTGTAAACAATCTTTTTGTAGAATCTGCGATTGGAGATTTGGACTGCTTTGAGGCCTACTGTAGTAAAGGAAATAACTTCATCTAAAAACCAAAATGGAAGCATTCACAGACAATTCTTAGTGATCATTGCATTGAACTAACAGAGCTGAACATTCCTTTAGATGGCGCAGTTTCCAAACACACTTTCTGTAGAATCTGCAAGTGGATATTTGGACCTCTCTGAGGATTTCGTTGGAAACGGGATAAACTTCCCAGAACTACACGGAAGCATTGTGAGAAACTTCTTTGTGATGTTTGCATTCAACTCACAGAGTTGAACCTTGCTTTCATAGTTCAGCTTTCAAACACTCTTTTTGTAGAATCTGCAAGTGGATATTTGGACCACTTTGTGGCCTTCCTTCGAAACGGGTATATCTTCACATCAAACCTAGACAGAAGCATTCTCAGAATGTTTCCTGTGATGACTGCATTCAACTCACAGAGGTGAACAATCCTGTTGATGGAGCAGTTTTGAAACTCTCTTTCTTTGGATTCTGCAAGTTGATATGTGGACCTATGTGAAGATTTCGTTGGAAACGGGTTCATCTTCACAGAAAAACTAAACAGAAGCATTCTCAGAAACTGCTTTGTGATGTTTGTGTTCCACTTCAGGAATTGAACTTTTCTCTTGAAAGAGCAGATCTGAAACCCTCTTTTTCTAGAATCTGCAAGTGGACATTTGGAGGGCTTTGAGGCCTGTGGTGGAAAAGGAAAATCTTCACATAAAAACTAGATGGAAGCATTCTCAGAAACTACTTTGTGATGATTGCATTCGACTCACAGAGTTGAACATTCCTATAGATAGAGCAGGTTGTAAACAATCTTTTTGTAGAATCTGCGATTGGAGATTTGGACTGCTTTGAGGCCTACTGTAGTAAAGGAAATAACTTCATCTAAAAACCAAACGGAAGCATTCACAGACAATACTTAGTGATCATTGGTTTGAACTAACAGAGCTGAACATTCCTTTAGATGGAGCAGTTTCCAAACCCACTTTCTGTAGAATCTGCAAGTGGATATTTGGACTTCTCTGAGGATTTCGTTGGAAACGGGATAAACTTCCCAGAACTACACGGAAGCATTGTGAGAAACTTCTTTGTGATGTTTGCATTCAACTCACAGAGTTGAACCTTGCTTTCATAGTTCAGCTTTCAAACACTCCTTTTGTAGAATCTGCAAGTGGATATTTGGACCACTTTGTGGCCTTCCTTCGAAACGGGTATATCTTCACATCAAACCTAGACAGAAGCATTCTCAGAATGTTTCCTGTGATGACTGCATTCAACTCACAGAGGTGAACAATGCTGCTGATGGAGCAGTTTTGAAACTCTCTTTCTTTGGATTCTGCAAGTGGATATGTGGACCTCTGTGAAGATTTCGTTGGAAACGGGTTCATCTTCACAGAAAAACTAAACAGAAGCATTCTCAGAAACTGCTTTGTGATGTTTGTGTTCCACTTCAGGAATTGAACTTTCCTCTTGACAGAGCAGCTCTGAAATCCTCTTATTCTAGAATCTGCAAGTGGACATTTGGAGGGCTTTGAGGCCTGTGGTGGAAAAGGAAAATCTTCACATAAAAACTAGATGGAAGCATTCTCAGAAACTACTTTGTGATGATTGCATTCGACTCACAGAGTTGAACATTCCTATAGATAGAGCAGGTTGTAAACAATCTTTTTGTAGAATCTGCGATTGGAGATTTGGACTGCTTTGAGGCCTACTGTAGTAAAGGAAATAACTTCATCTAAAAACCAAACGGAAGCATTCACAGACAATTCTTAGTGATCATTGCATTGAACTAACAGAGCTGAACATTCCTTTAGATGGCGCAGTTTCCAAACACACTTTCTGTAGAATCTGCAAGTGGATATTTGGACCTCTCTGAGGATTTCGTTGGAAACGGGATAAACTTCCCAGAACTACACGGAAGCATTGTGAGAAACTTCTCTGTGATGTTTGCATTCAACTCACAGAGTTGAACCTTGCTTTCATAGTTCAGCTTTCAAACACTCTTTTTGTAGAATCTGCAAGTGGATATTTGGACCACTTTGTGGCCTTCCTTCGAAATGGGTATATCTTCACATCAAACCTAGACAGAAGCATTCTCAGAATGTTTCCTGTGATGACTGCATTCAACTCACAGAGGTGAACAATCCTGCTGATGGAGCAGTTTTGAAACTCTCTTTCTTTGGATTCTGCAAGTTGATATGTGGACCTCTGTGAAGATTTCGTTGGAAACGGGTTCATCTTCACAGAAAAACTAAACAGGAGCATTCTCAGAAACTGCTTTGTGATGTTTGTGTTCCACTTCAAGAATTGAACTTTCCTCTTGACAGAGCAGCTCTGAAACCCTCTTTTTCTAGAGTCTGCAAGTGGACATTTGGAGGGCTTTGAGGCCTGTGGTGGAAAAGGAAAATCTTCACATAAAAACTAGATGGAAGCATTCTCAGAAACTACTTTGGGATGATTGCATTCGACTCACAGAGTTGAACATTCCTATAGATAGAGCAGGTTGTAAACAATCTTTTTGTAGAATCTGCGATTGGAGATTTGGACTGCTTTGAGGCCTACTGTAGTAAAGGAAATAACTTCATCTAAAAACCAAACGGAAGCATTCACAGACAATTCTTAGTGATCATTGGATTGAACTAACAGAGCTGAACATTCCTTTAGATGGAGCAGTTTCCAAACACACTTTCTGTAGAATCTGCAAGTGGATATTTGGACTTCTCTGAGGATTTCGTTGGAAACGGGATAAACTTCCCAGAACTACACGGAAGCATTGTGAGAATCTTCTTTGTGATGTTTGCACTCAACTCACAGAGTTGAACCTTGCTTTCATAGTTCAGCTTTCAAACACTCTTTTTGTAGAATCTGCAAGTGGATATTTGGACCACTTTGTGGCCTTCCTTCGAAACGGGTATATCTTCACATCAAACCTATACAGAAGCATTCTCAGAATGTTTCCTGTGATGACTGCATTCAACTCACAGAGGTGAACAATCCTGCTGATGGAGCAGTTTTGAAACTCTCTTTCTTTGGATTCTGCAAGTGGATATGTGGACCTCTGTGAAGATTTCGTTGGAAACGGGTTCATCTTCACAGAAAAACTAAACAGAAGCATTCTCAGAAACTGCTTTGTGATGTTTGTGTTCCACTTCAGGAATTGAACTTTCCTCTTAACAGAGCAGCTCTGAAACCCTCTTATTCTAGAATCTGCAAGTGGACATTTGGAGGGCTTTGAGGCCTGTGGTGGAAAAGGAAAATCTTCACATAAAAACCAGATGGAAGCATTCTCAGAAACTACTTTGTGATGATTGCATTCGACTCACAGAGTTGAACATTCCTATAGATAGAGCAGGTTGTAAACAATCTTTTTGTAGAATCTGCGATTGGAGATTTGGACTGCTTTGAGGCCTACTGTAGTAAAGGAAATAACTTCATCTAAAAACCAAACGGAAGCATTCACAGACAATTCTTAGTGATCATTGCATTGAACTTACAGAGCTGAACATTCCTTTAGATGGCGCAGTTTCCAAACACACTTTCTGTAGAATCTGCAAGTGGATATTTGGACCTCTCTGAGGATTTCGTTGGAAACGGGATAAAATTCCCAGAACTACACGGAAGCATTGTGAGAAACTTCTTTGTGATGTTTGCATTCAACTCACAGAGTTGAACCTTGCTTTCATAGGTCAGCTTTCAAACACTCTTTTTGTAGAATCTGCAAGTGGATATTTGGACCACTTTGTGGCCTTCCTTCGAAACGGGTATATCTTCACATCAAACCTAGACAGAAGCATTCTCAGAATGTTTCCTGTGATGACTGCATTCAACTCACAGAGGTGAACAATCCTGCTGATGGAGCAGTTTTGAAACTCTCTTTCTTTGGATTCTGCAAGTGGATATGTGGACCTCTGTGAAGATTTCGTTGGAAACGGGTTCATCTTCACAGAAAAACTAAACAGAAGCATTCTCAGAAACTGCTTTGTGATGTTTGTGTTCCACTTCAGGAATTGAACTTTCCTCTTGACAGAGCAGCTCTGAAACCCTCTTTTTCTAGAATCTGCAAGTGGACATTTGGAGGGCTTTGAGGCCTGTGGTGGAAAAGGAAAATCTTCACATAAAAACTAGATGGAAGCATTCTCAGAAACTACTTTGTGATGATTGCATTCGACTCACAGAGTTGAACATTCCTATAGATAGAGCAGGTTGTAAACAATCTTTTTGTAGAATCTGCGATTGGAGATTTGGACTGCTTTGAGGCCTACTGTAGTAAAGGAAATAACTTCATCTAAAAACCAAACGGAAGCATTCACAGACAATTCTTAGTGATCATTGGATTGAACTAACAGAGCTGAACATTCCTTTAGATGGAGCAGTTTCCAAACACACTTTCTGTAGAATCTGCAAGTGGATATTTGGACTTCTCTGAGGATTTCGTTGGAAACGGGATAAACTTCCCAGAACTACAGGGAAGCATTCTGAGAAACTTCTTTGTGATGTTTGCATTCAACTCACAGAGTTGAACCTTGCTTTCATAGTTCAGCTTTCAAACACTCTTTTTGTAGAATCTGCAAGTGGATATTTGGACCACTTTGTGGCCTTCCTTCGAAACGGGTATATCTTCACATCAAACCTAGACAGAAGCATTCTCAGAATGTTTCCTGTGATGACTGCATTCAACTCACAGAGGTGAACAATCCTGCTGATGGAGCAGTTTTGAAACTCCCTTTCTTTGGATTCTGCAAGTGGATATGTGGACCTCTGTGAAGATTTCGTTGGAAACGGGTTCATCTTCACAGAAAAACTAAACAGAAGCATTCTCAGAAACTGCTTTGTGATGTTTGTGTTCCACTTCAAGAATTGAACTTTCCTCTTGACAGAGCAGCTCTGAAACCCTCTTTTTCTAGAGTCTGCAAGTGGACATTTGGAGGGCTTTGAGGCCTGTGGTGGAAAAGGAAAATCTTCACATAAAAACTAGATGGAAGCATTCTCAGAAACTACTTTGTGATGATTGCATTCGACTCACAGAGTTGAACATTCCTATAGATAGAGCAGGTTGTAAACAATCTTTTTGTAGAATCTGCGATTGGAGATTTGGACTGCTTTGAGGCCTACTGTAGTAAAGGAAATAACTTCATCTAAAAACCAAACGGAAGCATTCACAGACAATTCTTAGTGATCATTGCATTGAACTAACAGAGCTGAACATTCCTTTAGATGGCGCAGTTTCCAAACACACTTTCTGTAGAATCTGCAAGTGGATATTTGGACTTCTCTGAGGATTTCGTTGGAAACGGGATAAACTTCCCAGAACTACACGGAAGCATTGTGAGAAACTTCTTTGTGATGTTTGCATTCAACTCACAGAGTTGAACCTTGCTTTCATAGTTCAGCTTTCAAACACTCTTTTTGTAGAATCTGCAAGTGGATATTTGGACCACTTTGTGGCCTTCCTTCGAAACGGGTATATCTTCACATCAAACCTAGACAGAAGCATTCTCAGAATGTTTCCTGTGATGACTGCATTCAACTCACAGAGGTGAACAATCCTGTTGATGGAGCAGTTTTGAAACTCTCTGTCTTTGGATTCTGCAAGTGGATATGTGGACCTCTGTGAAGATTTCGTTGGAAACGGGTTCATCTTCACAGAAAAACTAAACAGGAGCATTCTCAGAAACTGCTTTGTGATGTTTGTGTTCCACTTCAGGAATTGAACTTTCCTCTTGACAGAGCAGCTCTGAAACCCTCTTTTTCTAGAATCTGCAAGTGGACATTTGGAGGGCTTTGAGGCCTGTGGTGGAAAAGGAAAATCTTCACATAAAAACTAGATGGAAGCATTCTCAGAAACTACTTTGTGATGATTGCATTCGACTCACAGAGTTGAACATTCCTATAGATAGAGCAGGTTGTAAACAATCTTTTTGTAGAATCTGCGATTGGAGATTTGGACTGCTTTGAGGCCTACTGTAGTAAAGGAAATAACTTCATCTAAAAACCAAACGGAAGCATTCACAGACAATTCTTAGTGATCATTGGATTGAACTAACAGAGCTGAACATTCCTTTAGATGGAGCAGTTTCCAAACCCACTTTCTGTAGAATCTGCAAGGGGATATTTGGACTTCTCTGAGGATTTCGTTGGAAACGGGATAAACTTCCCAGAACTACACGGAAGAATTGTGAGAAACTTCTTTGTGATGTTTGCATTCAACTCACAGAGTTGAACCTTGCTTTCATAGTTCAGCTTTCAAACACTCGTTTTGTAGAATCTGCAAGTGGATGTTTGGACCACTTTGTGGCCTTCCTTCGAAACGGGTATATCTTCACATCAAACCTAGACAGAAGCATTCT
This sequence comes from Homo sapiens, assembly GCF_000001405.40. Classification (NCBI taxonomy): domain Eukaryota; kingdom Metazoa; phylum Chordata; class Mammalia; order Primates; family Hominidae; genus Homo; species Homo sapiens. The sequence continues at coordinate 51,768,692 of NC_000011.10, forward strand.
CAGAATGTTTCCTGTGATGACTGCATTCAACTCACAGAGGTGAACAATCCTGCTGATGGAGCAGTGTTGAAACTCTCTTTCTTTGGATTCTGCAAGTGGATATTTGGACCTCTGTGAAGATTTCGTTGGAAACGGGTTCATCTTCACAGAAAAACTAAACAGGAGCATTCTCAGAAACTGCATTATCATGTTTGTGTTCCACTTCAAGAGTTGAACATTCCTCTTGACAGAGCAGCTCTGAAACCCTCTTTTTCTAGAATCTGCAAGTGGACATTTGGAGGGCTTTGAGGCCTGTGGTGGAAAAGGAAAATCTTCACATAAAAACTAAATGGAAGCATTCTCAGAAACTACTTTGTGATGATTGCATTCGACTCAGAGAGTTGAACATTCCTATAGATAGAGCAGGTTGTAAACAATCTTTTTGTAGAATCTGCGATTGGAGATTTGGACTGCTTTGAGGCCTACTGTAGTAAAGGAAATAACTTCATCTAAAAACCAAACGGAAGCATTCACAGACAATTCTTAGTGATCATTGGATTGAACTAACAGAGCTGAACATTCCTTTAGATGGAGCAGTTTCCAAACACACTTTCTGTAGAATCTGCAAGTGGATATTTGGACCTCTCTGAGGATTTCGTTGGAAACGGGGATAAACTTCCCAGAACTACACGGAAGCATTCTGAGAAACTTCTTTGTGATGTTTGCATTCAACTCACAGAGTTGAACCTTGCTTTCATAGTTCAGCTTTGAAACACTCTTTCTGTAGAATCTGCAAGTGGATATTAGGACCACATTGTGGCCTTCCTTCGAAACGGGTATATCTTCACATCAAACCTAGACAGAAGCATTCTCAGAATGTTTCCTGTGATGACTGCATTCAACTCACAGAGGTGAACAATCCTGCTGATGGAGCAGTTTTGAAACTCTCTTTCTTTGGATTCTGCAAGTGGATATGTGGACCTCTGTGAAGATTTCGTTGGAAACGGGTTCATCTTCACAGAAAAACTAAACAGGAGCATTCTCAGAAACTGCTTTGTGATGTTTGTGTTCCACTTCAGGAATTGAACTTTCCTCTTGACAGAGCAGCTCTGAAACCCTCTTTTTCTAGAATCTGCAAGTTGACATTTGGAGGGCTTTGTGGCCTGTGGTGGAAAAGGAAACTCTTCACATAAAAACTAGATGGAAGCATTCTCAGAAACTACTTTGTGATGATTGCATTCGACTCACAGAGTTGAACATTCCTATACATAGAGCAGGTTGTAAACAATCTTTTTGTAGAATCTGCGATTGGAGATTTGGACTGCTTTGAGGCCTACTGTAGTAAAGGAAATAACTTCATCTAAAAACCAAACGGAAGCATTCACAGACAATTCTTAGTGATCATTGCATTGAACTAACAGAGCTGAACATTGCTTTAGATGGCGCAGTTTCCAAACACACTTTCTGTAGAATCTGCAAGTGGATATTTGGACCTCTCTGAGGATTTCGTTGGAAACGGGATAAACTTCCCAGAACTACACGGAAGCATGCTGAGAAACTTCTTTGTGATGTTTGCATTCAACTCACAGAGTTGAACCTTGCTTTCATAGTTCAGCTTTCAAACACTCTTTTTGTAGAATCTGCAAGTGGATATTTGGACCACTTTGTGGCCTTCCTTCGAAACGGGTATATCTTCACATCAAACCTAGACAGAAGCATTCTCAGAATGTTTCCTGTGATGACTGCATTCAACTCACAGAGGTGAACAATCCTGTTGATGGAGCACTTTTGAAACTCTCTTTCTTTGGATTCTGCAAGTTGATATGTGGACCTCTGTGAAGATTTCGTTGGAAACGGGTTCATCTTCACAGAAAAACTAAACAGAAGCATTCTCAGAAACTACTTTGTGATGTTTGTGTTCCACTTCAAGAATTGAACTTTCCTCTTGACAGAGCAGCTCTGAAACCCTCTTTTTCTAGAATCTGCAAGTGGACATTTGGAGGGCTTTGAGGCCTGTGGTGGAAAAGGAAAATCTTCACATAAGAACTAGATGGAAGCATTCTCAGAAACTACTTTGTGATGATTGCATTCGACTCACAGAGTTGAACATTCCTATAGATAGAGCAGGTTGTAAACAATCTTTTTGTAGAATCTGCGATTGGAGATTTGGACTGCTTTGAGGCCTACTGTAGTAAAGGAAATAACTTCATCTAAAAACCAAACGGAAGCATTCACAGACAATTCTTAGTGATCATTGGATTGAACTAACAGAGCTGAACACTCCTTTAGATGGAGCAGTTTCCAAACACACTTTCTGTAGAATCTGCAAGTGGATATTTGGACTTGTCTGACGATTTCGTTGGAAACGGGATAAACTTCCCAGAACTACACGGAAGCATTGTGAGAAACTTCTTTGTGATGTTTGCATTCAACTCACAGAGTTGAACCTTGCTTTCATAGTTCAGCTTTCAAACACTCTTTTTGTAGAATCTGCAAGTGGATATTTGGACCACTTTGTGGCCTTCCTTCGAAACGGGTATATCTTCACATCAAACCTAGACAGAAGCATTCTCAGAATGTTTCCTGTGATGACTGCATTCAACTCACAGAGGTGAACAATCCTGCTGATGGAGCAGTTTTGAAACTCTCTTTCTTTGGATTCTGCAAGTGGATATGTGGACCTCTGTGAAGATTTCGTTGGAAACGGTTTCATCTTCACAGAAAAACTAAACAGGAGCATTCTCAGAAACTGCTTTGTGATGTTTGTGTTCCACTTCAAGAATTGAACTTTCCTCTTGACAGAGCAGCTCTGAAACCCTCTTTTTCTAGAGTCTGCAAGTGGACATTTGGAGGGCTTTGAGGCCTGTGGTGGAAAAGGAAAATCTTCACATAAAAACTAGATGGAAGCATTCTCAGAAACTACTTTGTGATGATTGCATTCGACTCACAGAGTTGAACATTCCTATAGATAGAGCAAGTTGTAAACAATCTTTTTGTAGAATCTGCGATTGGAGATTTGGACTGCTTTGAGGCCCACTGTAGTAAAGGAAATAACTTCATCTAAAAACCAAACGGAAGCATTCACAGACAATTCTTAGTGATCATTGGATTGAACTAACAGAGCTGAACATTCCTTTAGATGGCGCAGTTTCCATACACACTTTCTGTAGAATCTGCAAGTGGATATTTGGACCTCTCTGAGGATTTCGTTGGAAACGGGATAAACTTCCCAGAACTACACGGAAGCATTGTGAGAAACTTCTTTGTGATGTTTGCATTCAACTCACAGAGTTGAACCTTGCTTTCATAGTTCAGCTTTCAAACACTCTTTTTGTAGAATCTGCAAGTGGATATTTGGACCACTTTGTGGCCTTCCTTCGAAACGGGTATATCTTCACATCAAACCTAGACAGAAGCATTCTCAGAATGTTTCCTGTGATGACTGCATTCAACTCACAGAGGTGAACAATCCTGCTGATGGAGCAGTTTTGAAACTCTCTTTCTTTGGATTCTGCAAGTGGATATGTGGACCTCTGTGAAGATTTCGTTGGAAACGGGTTCATCTTCACAGAAAAACTAAACAGGAGCATTCTCAGAAACTGCTTTGTGATGTTTGTGTTCCTCTTCAAGAATTGAACTTTCCTCTTGACAGAGCAGCTCTGAAACCCTCTTTTTCTAGAATCTGCAAGTGGACATTTGGAGGGCTTTGAGGCCTGTGGTGGAAAAGGAAAATCTTCACATAAAAACTAGATGGAAGCATTCTCAGAAACTACTTTGTGATGATTGCATTCGACTCACAGAGTTGAACATTCCTATAGATAGAGCAGGTTGTAAACAATCTTTTTGTAGAATCTGCGATTGGAGATTTGGACTGCTTTGAGGCCTACTGTAGTAAAGGAAATAACTTCATCTAAAAACCAAACGGAAGCATTCACAGACAATTCTTAGTGATCATTGAATTGAACTAACAGAGCTGAACATTCCTTTAGATGGCGCAGTTTCCAAACACACTTTCTGTAGAATCTGCAAGTGGATATTTGGACCTCTCTGAGGATTTCGTTGGAAACGGGATAAACTTCCCAGAACTACACGGAAGCATTCTGAGAAACTTCTTTGTGATGTTTCCATTCAACTCATAGAGTTGAACCTTGCTTTCATAGTTCAGCTTTCAAACACTCTTTTTGTAGAATCTGCAAGTGGATATTTGGACCACTTTGTGGCCTTCCTTCGAAACGGGTATATCTTCACATCAAACCTAGACAGAAGCATTCTCAGAATGTTTCCTGTGATGACTGCATTCAACTCACAGAGGTGAACAATCCTGCTGATGGAGCAGTTTTGAAACTCTCTTTCTTTGGATTCTGCAAGTGGATATGTGGACCTCTGTGAAGATTTCGTTGGAAACGGGTTCATCTTCACAGAAAAACTAAACAGGAGCATTCTCAGAAACTGCTTTGTGATGTTTGTGTTCCACTTCAAGAATTGAACTTTCCTCTTGACAGAGCAGCTCTGAAACCCTCTTTTTCTAGAATCTGCAAGTGGACATTTGGAGGGCTTTGAGGCCTGTGGTGGAAAAGGAAAATCTTCACATAAAAACTAGATGGAAGCATTATCAGAAACTACTTTGTGATGATTGCATTCGACTCACAGAGTTGAACATTCCTATAGATAGAGCAGGTTGTAAACAATCTTTTTGTAGAATCTGCGATTGGAGATTTGGACTGCTTTGAGGCCTACTGTAGTAAAGGAAATAACTTCATCTAAAAACCAAACGGAAGCATTCACAGACAATTCTTAGTGATCATTGGATTGAACTAACAGAGCTGAACATTCCTTTAGATGGAGCAGTTTCCAAACCCACTTTCTGTAGAATCTGCAAGTGGATATTTGGACTTCTCTGAGGATTTCGTTGGAAACGGGATAAACTTCCCAGAACTACACGGAAGCATTCTGAGAAACTTCTTTGTGATGTTTGCATTCAACTCACAGAGTTGAACCTTGCTTTCATAGTTCAGCTTTCAAACACTCTTTTTGTAGAATCTGCAAGTGGATATTTGGACCACTTTCTGGCCTTCCTTCGAAACGGGTATATCTTCACATCAAACCTAGACAGAAGCATTCTCAGAATGTTTCCTGTGATGACTGCATTCAACTCACAGAGGTGAACAATCCTGCTGATGGAGCAGTTTTGAAACTCTCTTTCTTTGGATTCTGCAAGTGGATATGTGGACCTCTGTGAAGATTTCGTTGGAAACGGGTTCATCTTCACAGAAAAACTAAACAGGAGCATTCTCAGAAACTGCTTTGTGATGTTTGTGTTCCACTTCAAGAATTGAACTTTCCTCTTGACAGAGCAGCTCTGAAACCCTCTTTTTCTAGAATCTGCAAGTGGACATTTGGAGGGCTTTGAGGCCTGTGGTGGAAAAGGAAAATCTTCACATAAAAACTAGATGGAAGCATTCTCAGAAACTACTTTGTGATGACTGCATTCGACTCACAGAGTTGAACATTCCTATAGATAGAGCAGGTTGTAAACAATCTTTTTGTAGAGTCTGCGATTGGAGATTTGGACTGCTTTGAGGCCTACTGTAGTAAAGGAAATAACTTCATCTAAAAACCAAACGGAAGCATTCACAGACAATTCTTAGTGATCATTGCATTGATCTAACAGAGCTGAACATTCCTTTAGATGGCGTAGTTTCCAAACACACTTTCTGTAAAATCTGCAAGTGGATATTTGGACCTCTCTGAGGATTTCGTTGGAAACGGGATAAACTTCCCAGAACTACACGGAAGCATTCTGAGAAACTTCTTTGTGATGTTTGCATTCAACTCACAGAGTTGAACCTTGCTTTCATAGTTCAGCTTTCAAACACTCTTTTTGTAGAATCTGCAAGTGGATATTTGGACCACTTTGTGGCCTTCCTTCGAAACGGGTATATCTTCACATCAAACCTAGACAGAAGCATTCTCAGAATGTTTCCTGTGATGACTGCATTCAACTCACAGAGGTGAACAATCCTGCTGATGGAGCAGTTTTGAAACTCTCTTTCTTTGGATTCTGCAAGTGGATATGTGGACCTCTGTGAAGATTTCGTTGGAAACGGGTTCATCTTCACAGAAAAACTAAACAGAAGCATTCTCAGAAACTGCTTTGTGATGTTTGTGTTCCACTGCAAGAATTGAGCTTTCCTCTTGACAGAGCAGCTCTGAAACCCTCTTTTTCTAGAATCTGCAAGTGGACATTTGGAGGGCTTTGAGGCCTGTGGTGGAAAAGGAAAATCTTCACATAAAAAGTAGATGGAAGCATTCTCAGAAACTACTTTGTGATGATTGCATTCGACTCACAGAGTTGAACATTCCTATAGATAGAGCAGGTTGTAAACAATCTTTTTGTAGTATCTGCGATTGGAGATTTGGACTGCTTTGAGGCCTACTGTAGTAAAGGAAATAACTTCATCTAAAAACCAAACGGAAGCATTCACAGACAATTCTTAGTGATCATTGGATTGAACTAACAGAGCTGAACATTCCTTTAGATGGAGGAGTTTCCAAACACACTTTCTGTAGAATCTGCAAGTGGATATTTGGACCTCTCTGAGGATTTCGTTGGAAACGGGATAAACTTCCTAGAACTACACGGAAGCATTCTGAGAAACTTCTTTGTGATGTTTGCATTCAACTCACAGAGTTGAACCTTTCTTTCATAGTTCAGCTTTCAAACACTCTTTTTGTAGAATCTGCAAGTGGATATGTGGACCACTTTGTGGCCTTCCTTCGAAACGGGTATATCTTCACATCAAACCTAGACAGAAGCATTCTCAGAATGTTTTCCTGTGATGACTGCATTCAACTCACAGAGGTGAACAATCCTGCTGATGGAGCAGTTTTGAAACTCTCTTTCTTTGGATTCTGCAAGTGGATATGTGGACCTCCGTGAAGATTTCGTTGGAAACGGGTTCATCTTCACAGAAAAACTAAACAGGAAGCATTCTCAGAAACTGCTTTGTGATGTTTGTGTTCCACTTCAGGAATTGAACTTTCCTCTTGACAGAGCAGCTCTGAAACCCTCATATTCTATAATCTGCATGTGGACATTTGGAGGGCTTTGAGGCCTGTGGTGGAAAAGGAAAATCTTCACATAAAAACTAGATGGAAGCATTCTCAGAAACTACTTTGTGATGATTGCATTCGACTCACAGAGTTGAACATTCCTTTAGATAGAGCAGGTTGTAAACAATCTTTTTGCAGAATCTGCGATTGGAGATTTGGACTGCTTTGAGGCCTACTGTAGTAAAGGAAATAACTTCATCTAAAAACCAAACGGAAGCATTCACAGACAATTCTTAGTGATCATTGGATTGAACTAACAGAGCTGAACATTCCTTTAGATGGAGCAGTTTCCAAACCCACTTTCTGTAGAATCTGCAAGTGGATATTTGGACTTCTCTGAGGATTTCGTTGGAAACGGGATAAACTTCCCAGAACTACACGGAAGCATTCTGAGAAACTTCTTTGTGATGTTTGCATTCAACTCACAGAGTTGAACCTTGCTTTCATAGTTCAGCTTTCAAACACTCTTTTTGTAGAATCTGCAAGTGGATATTTGGACCACTTTGTGGCCTTCCTTCGAAACGGGTATATCTTCACATCAAACCTAGACAGAAGCATTCTCAGAATGTTTCCTGTGATGACTGCATTCAACTCACAGAGGTGAACAATCCTGCTGATGGAGCAGTTTTGAAACTCTCTTTCTTTGGATTCTGCAGCTGGATATGTGGACCTCTGTGAAGATTTCGTTGGAAACGGGTTCATCTTCACAGAAAAACTAAACAGGAACTTTCTCAGAAACTGCTTTGTGATGTTTGTGTTCCACTTCAGGAATTGAACTTTCCTCTTGACAGAGCAGCTCTGAAATCCTCTTATTCTAGAATCTGCAAGTGGACATTTGGAGGGCTTTGAGGCCTGTGGTGGAAAAGGAAAATCTTCACATAAAAACTAGATGGAAGCATTCTCAGAAACTACTTTGTGATGATTGCATTCGACTCACAGAGTTGAACATTCCTATAGATAGAGCAGGTTGTAAACAATCTTTTTGTAGAATCTGCGATTGGAGATTTGGACTGCTTTGAGGCCTACTGTAGTAAACGGAAATAACTTCATCTAAAAACCAAACGGAAGCATTCACAGACAATTCTTAGTGATCATTGCATTGAACTAACAGAGCTGAACATTGCTTTAGATGGCGCAGTTTCCAAACACACTTTCTGTAGAATCTGCAAGTGGATATTTGGACCTCTCTGAGGATTTCGTTGGAAACGGGATAAACTTCCCAGAACTACACGGAAGCATGCTGAGAAACTTCTTTGTGATGTTTGCATTCAACTCACAGAGTTGAACCTTGCTTTCATAGTTCAGCTTTCAAACACTCTTTTTGTAGAATCTGCAAGTGGATATTTGGACCACTTTGTGGCCTTCCTTCGAAACGGGTATATCTTCACTTCAAACCTAGACAGAAACATTCTCAGAATGTTTCCTGTGATGACTGCATTCAACTCACAGAGGTGAACAATCCTGTTGATGGAGCAGTTTTGAAACTCTCTTTCTTTGGATTCTGCAAGTGGATATGTGGACCTCTGTGAAGGTTTCGTTGGAAACGGGTTCATCTTCACAGAAAAACTAAACAGGAGCATTCTCAGAAACTGCTTTGTGATGTTTGTGTTCCACTTCAAGAATTGAACTTTCCTCTTGACAGAGCAGCTCTGAAACCCTCTTTTTCTAGAATCTGCAAGTGGACATTTGGAGGGCTTTGAGGGCTGTGGTGGAAAAGGAAAATCTTCACATAAAAACTAGATGGAAGCATTCTCAGAAACTACTTTGTGATGATTGCATTCGACTCACAGAGTTGAACATTCCTATAGATAGAGCAGGTTGTAAACAATCTTTTTGTAGAATCTGCGATTGGAGATTTGGACTGCTTTGAGGCCTACTGTAGTAAAGGAAATAACTTCATCTAAAAACCAAACGGAAGCATTCACAGACAATTCTTAGTGATCATTGGATTGAACTAACAGAGCTGAACATTCCTTTAGATGGAGCAGTTTCCAAACACACTTTCTGTAGAATCTGCAAGTGGATATTTGGACTTCTCTGAGGATTTCGTTGGAAACGGGATAAACTTCCCAGAACTACACGGAAGCATTGTGAGAAACTTCTTTGTGATGTTTGCATTCAACTCACAGAGTTGAACCTTGCTTTCCTAGTTCAGCTTTCAAACACTCTTTTTGTGGAATCTGCAAGTGGATATTTGGACCACTTTGTGGCCTTCCTTCGAAACGGGTATATCTTCACATCAAACCTAGACAGAAGCATTCTCAGAATGTTTCCTGTGATGACTGCATTCAACTCACAGAGGTGAACAATCCTGCTGTTGGAGCAGTTTTGAAACTCTCTTTCTTTGGATTCTGCAAGTGGATATGTGGACCTCTGTGAAGATTTCGTTGGAAACGGGTTCATCTTCACAGAAAAACTAAACAGAAGCATTCTCAGAAACTGCTTTGTGATGTTTGTGTTCCACTTCAAGAATTGAACTTTCCTCTTGACAGAGCAGCTCTGAAACCCTCTTTTTCTAGAATCTGCAAGTGGACATTTGGAGGGCTTTGAGGCCTGTGGTGGAAAAGGAAAATCTTCACATAAAAACTAGATGGAAGCATTCTCAGAAACTACTTTGTGATGATTGCATTCGACTCACAGAGTTGAACATTCCTACAGATAGAGCAGGTTGTAAACAATCTTTTTGTAGAATCTGCGATTGGAGATTTGGACTGCTTTGAGGCCTACTGTAATAAAGGAAATAACTTCATCTAAAAACCAAACGGAAGCATTCACAGACAATTCTTAGTGATCATTGCATTGAACTAACAGAGCTGAACATTCCTTTAGATGGCGCAGTTTCCAAACACACTTTCTGTAGAATCTGCAAGTGGATATTTGGACCTCTCTGAGGATTTCGTTGGAAACGGGATAAACTTCCCAGAACTACAGGGAAGCATTCTGAGAAACTTCTTTGTGATGTTTGCATTCAACTCACAGAGTTGAACCTTGCTTTCATAGTTCAGCTTTCAAACACTCTTTTTGTAGAATCTGCAAGTGGATATTTGGACCACTTTGTGGCCTTCCTTCGAAACGGGTATATCTTCACATCAAACCTAGACAGAAGCATTCTCAGAATGTTTCCTGTGATGACTGCATTCAACTCACAGAGGTGAACAATCCTGCTGTTGGAGCAGTTTTGAAACTCTCTTTCTTTGGATTCTGCAAGTGGATATGTGGAACTCTGTGAAGATTTCGTTGGAAACGGGTACATCTTCACAGAAAAACTAAACAGGAGCATTCTCAGAAACTGCTTTGTGATGTTTGTGTTCCACTTCAAGAATTGAACTTTCCTCTTGACAGAGCAGCTCTGAAACCCTCTTTTTCTAGAATCTGCAAGTGGACATTTGGAGGGCTTTGAGGCCTGTTGTGGAAAAGGAAAATCTTCACATAAAAACTAGATGGAAGCATTCTCAGAAACTACTTTGTGATGATTGCATTCGACTCACAGAGTTGAACATTCCTATAGATAGAGCAGGTTGTAAACAATGTTTTTGTAGAATCTGCGATTGGAGATTTGGATTGCTTTGAGGCCTACTGTAGTAAAGGAAATAACTTCATCTAAAAACCAAACGGAAGCATTCACAGACAATTCTTAGTGATCATTGGATTGAACTAACAGAGCTGAACATTCCTTTAGATGGAGCAGTTTCCAAACCCACTTTCTGTAGAATCTGCAAGTGGATATTTGGACTTCTCTGAGGATTTCGTTGGAAACGGGATAAACTTCCCAGAACTACACGGAAGCATTGTGAGAAACTTCTTTGTGATGTTTGCATTCAACTCACAGAGTTGAACCTTGCTTTCATAGTTCAGCTTTCAAACACTCTTTTTGTAGAATCTGCAAGTGGATATTTGGACCACTTTGTGGCCTTCCTTTGAAAAGGGTATATCTTCACATCAAACCTAGACAGAAGCATTCTCAGAATGTTTCCTGTGATGACTGCATTCAACTCACAGAGGTGAACAATCCTGCTGATGGAGCAGTTTTGAAACTCTCTTTCTTTGGATTCTGCAAGTGGATATGTGGACCTCTGTGAAGATTTCGTTGGAAACGGGTTCATCTTCACAGAAAAACTAAACAGAAGCATTCTCAGAAACTGCTTTGTGATGTTTGTGTTCCTCTTCAAGAAATGAACTTTCCTCTTGACAGAGCAGCTCTGAAACCCTCTTTTTCTAGAATCTGCAAGTGGACATTGGGAGGGCTTTGAGGCCTGTGGTGGAAAAGGAAAATCTTCACATAAAAACTAGATGGAAGCATTCTCAGAAACTACTTTGTGATGATTGCATTCGACTCACAGAGTTGAACATTCCTATAGATAGAGCAGGTTGTAAACAGTGTTTTTGTAGAATCTGCGATTGGAGATTTGGACTGCTTTGAGGCCTACTGTAGTAAAGGAAATAACTTCATCTAAAAACCAAACGGAAGCATTCACAGACAATTCTTAGTGATCATTGCATTGAACTAACAGAGCTGAACATTCCTTTAGATGGCGCAGTTTCCAAACACACTTTCTGTAGAATCTGCAAGTGGATATTTGGACTTCTCTGAGGATTTCGTTGGAAACGGGATAAACTTCCCAGAACTACACGGAAGCATTCTGAGAAACTTCTTTGTGATGTTTGCATTCAACTCACAGAGTTGAACCTTGCTTTCATAATTCAGCTTTCAAACACTCTTTTTGTAGAATCTGCAAGTGGATATTTGGACCACTTTGTGGCCTTCCTTCGAAACGGATATATCTTCACATCAAACCTAGACAGAAGCATTCTCAGAATGTTTCCTGTGATGACTGCATTCAACTCACAGAGGTGAACAATCCTGTTGATGGAGCAGTTTTGAAACTCTCTTTCTTTGGATTCTGCAAGTGGATATGTGGACCTCTGTGAAGATTTCGTTGGAAACGGGTTCATCTTCACAGAAAAACTAAACAGGAGCATTCTCAGAAACTGCTTTGTGATGTTTGTGTTCCACTTCAGGAATTGAACTTTCCTCTTGACAGAGCAGCTCTGAAACCCTCTTTTTCTAGAATCTGCAAGTGGACATTTGGAGGGCTTTGAGGCCTGTGGTGGAAAAGGAAAATCTTCACATAAAAACTAGATGGAAGCATTCTCAGAAACTACTTTGTGATGATTGCATTCGACTCACAGAGTTGAACATTCCTATAGATAGAGCAGGTTGTAAACAATCTTTTTGTAGAATCTGCGATTGGAGATTTGGACTGCTTTGAGGCCTACTGTAGTAAAGGAAATAACTTCATCTAAAAACCAAACGGAAGCATTCACAGACAATTCTTAGTGATCATTGGATTGAACTAACAGAGCTGAACATTCCTTTCGATGGCGCAGTTTCCAAACACACTTTCTGTAGAATCTGCAAGTGGATATTTGGACCTCTCTGAGGATTTCGTTGGAAACGGGATAAACTTCCCAGAACTACACGGAAGCATTCTGAGAAACTTCTTTGTGATGTTTGCATTCAACTCACAGAGTTGAACCTTGCTTTCATAGTTCAGCTTTCAAACACTCTTTTTGTAGAATCTGCAAGTGGATATTTGGACCACTTTCTGGCCTTCCTTCGAAACGGGTATATCTTCACATCAAACCTAGACAGAAGCATTCTCAGAATGTTTCCTGTGATGACTGCATTCAACTCACAGAGGTGAACAATCCTGCTGATGGAGCAGTTTTGAAACTCTCTTTCTTTGGATTCTGCAAGTGGATATGTGGACCTCTGTGAAGATTTCGTTGGAAACGGGTTCATCTTCACAGAAAAACTAAACAGAAGCATTCTCAGAAACTGCTTTGTGATGTTTGTGTTCCACTTCAGGAATTGAACTTTCCTCTTGACAGAGCAGCTCTGAAACCCTCTTATTCTAGAATCTGCAAGTGGACATTTGGAGGGCTTTGAGGCCTGTGGTGGAAAAGGAAAATCTTCACATAAAAACTAGATGGAAGCATTCTCAGAAACTACTTTGTGATGATTGCATTCGACTCACAGAGTTGAACATTCCTATAGATAGAGCAGGTTGTAAACAATCTTTTTGTAGAATCTGCGATTGGAGATTTGGACTGCTTTGAGGCCTACTGTAGTAAAGGAAATAACTTCATCTAAAAACCAAACGGAAGCATTCACAGACAATTCTTAGTGATCATTGGATTGAACTAACAGAGCTGAACATTCCTTTAGATGGAGCAGTTTCCAAACACACTTTCTGTAGAATCTGCAAGTGGATATTTGGACTTCTCTGAGGATTTCGTTGGAAACGGGATAAACTTCCCAGAACTACACGGAAGCATTGTGAGAAACTTCTTTGTGATGTTTGCATTCAACTCACAGAGTTGAACCTTGCTTTCATAGTTCAGCTTTCAAACACTCTTTTTGTAGAATCTGCAAGTGGATATTTGGACCACTTTGTGGCCTTCCTTCGAAACGGGTATATCTTCACATCAAACCTAGACAGAAGCATTCTCAGAATGTTTCCTGTGATGACTGCATTCAACTCACAGAGGTGAACAATCCTGTTGATGGAGCAGTTTTGAAACTCTCTTTCTTTGGATTCTGCAAGTGGATATGTGGACCTCTGTGAAGATTTCGTTGGAAACGGGTTCATCTTCACAGAAAAACTAAACAGAAGCATTCTCAGAAACTGCTTTGTGATGTTTGTGTTCCACTTCAAGAATTGAACTTTCCTCTTGACAGAGCAGCTCTGAAACCCTCTTTTTCTAGAATCTGCAAGTGGACATTTGGAGGGCTTTGAGGCCTGTGGTGGAAAAGGAAAATCTTCACATAAAAACTAGATGGAAGCATTCTCAGAAACTGCTTTGTGATGATTGTATTCGACTCACAGAGTTGAACATTCCTATAGATAGAGCAGGTTGTAAACAATCTTTTTGTAGAATCTGCGATTGGAGATTTGGACTGCTTTGAGGCCTACTGTAGTAAAGGAAATAACTTCATCTAAAAACCAAACGGAAGCATTCACAGACAATTCTTAGTGATCATTGGATTCAACTAACAGAGCTGAACATTCCTTTAGATGGAGCAGTTTCCAAACACACTTTCTGTAGAATCTGCAAGTGGATATTTGGACTTCTCTGAGGATTTCGTTGGAAACGGGATAAACTTCCCAGAACTACACGGAAGCATTCTGAGAAACTTCTTTGTGATGTTTGCATTCAACTCACAGAGTTGAACCTTGCTTTCATAGTTCAGCTTTCAAACACTCTTTTTGTAGAATCTGCAAGTGGATATTTGGACCACTTTGTGGCCTTCCTTCGAAACGGGTATATCTTCACATCAAACCTAGACAGAAGCATTCTCAGAATGTTTCCTGTGATGACTGCATTCAACTCACAGAGGTGAACAATCCTGCTGATGGAGCAGTTTTGAAACTCTCTTTCTTTGGATTCTGCAAGTGGATATGTGGACCTCTGTGAAGATTTCGTTGGAAACGGGTTCATCTTCACAGAAAAACTAAACAGAAGCATTCTCAGAAACTGCTTTGTGATGTTTGTGTTCCACTTCAGGAATTGAACTTTCCTCTTGAAAGAGCAGCTTTGAAACCCTCTTTTTCTAGAATCTGCAAGTGGACATTTGGAGGGCTTTGAGGCCTGTGGTGGAAAAGGAAAATCTTCACATAAAAACTAGATGGAAGCATTCTCAGAAACTACTTTGTGATGATTGCATTCGACTCACAGAGTTGAACATTCCTATAGATAGAGCAGGTTGTAAACAATCTTTTTGTAGAATCTGCGATTGGAGATTTGGACTGCTTTGAGGCCTACTGTAGTAAAGGAAATAACTTCATCTAAAAACCAAACGGAAGCATTCACAGACAATTCTTAGTGATCATTGCATTGAACTAACAGAGCTGAACATTCCTTTAGATGGAGCAGTTTCCAAACACACTTTCTGTAGAATCTGCAAGTGGATATTTGGACTTGTCTGAGGATTTCGTTGGAAACGGGATAAACTTCCCAGAACTACACGGAAGCATGCTGAGAAACTTCTTTGTGATGTTTGCATTCAACTCACAGAGTTGAA
This sequence comes from Homo sapiens, assembly GCF_000001405.40. Lineage (NCBI taxonomy): Eukaryota > Metazoa > Chordata > Mammalia > Primates > Hominidae > Homo > Homo sapiens. The sequence continues at coordinate 51,783,870 of NC_000011.10, forward strand.
CCTTGCTTTCATAGTTCAGCTTTCAAACACTCTTTTTGTAGAATCTGCAAGTGGATATTTGGACCACTTTGTGGCCTTCCTTCGAAACGGGTATATCTTCACATCAAACCTAGACAGAAGCATTCTCAGAATGTTTCCTGTGATGACTGCATTCAACTCACAGAGGTGAACAATCATGTTGATGGAGCACTTTTGAAACTCTCTTTCTTTGGATTCTGCAAGTTGATATGTGGACCTCTGTGAAGATTTCGTTGGAAACGGGTTCATCTTCACAGAAAAACTAAACAGAATCATTCTCAGAAACTGCTTTGTGATGTTTGTGTTCCACTTCAGGAATTGA